>NC_000003.12:197178562-197329562 GCF_000001405.40 Homo sapiens | reverse complement strand
AGTAGTTAAAAATAATCAACAAATGAAGCTTCTGTGTTTTCTTGCCTGAGAACAAGGGGCTGTTCTTCTAGTCTTTATAATGAAATAGTGAGACTCTGTGGAAAAAGATACAGCAGTTGGTAAATGTTCTAAACGGAGCATTGCAAATATGTCATAAACCCAAGTGCTTCTGAGTTCACCTGTGACTGGGTAAGAACGCAGGACAGGCTGCGAGCAGGTGGTCAGTGGGCCTCTAGATATTAATTCACTGCAGAAAGCGGCCATTACGAAATTTCATTTTTTTCTTTCTTAAAGTCAAATTCCTGATTTTGGTTTTTAAAACAGGAGAAGTATTTCATAATGAGAAAGTGATTTATGTAGAGTTTTTCCACATATGTTACTGAAACAAGGTTGTGCTTTTTGTTTGTTTGTTTGTTTGTTTTTGAGCCAGAGTCTCGCTCTGTCACCCAGGCTGGAGAGCAATGGCTGATCTTGGCTCGCTGTAACCTCTGCCTCCTGGGTTCAAGCAATTCTCCTGCCTCAGCCTCTCGAGTAGCTGGGATTTCAGGCGCCCACCACCATGCCCAGGTAATTTTTATATTTTTAGTAGAGATGGGGTTTCACCAGGTTGGCCAGGCTGATCTCAAACTCCTGACCTCAGGTGATCCACCTGCCTCAGCCTCCCAAAGTGCTGGGATCACAGGCGTGAGCCACCACTTCCGGCTGCCTTTTTTTTTTAAAGGTAACATCCCTGTTCAAAGACAGATTACAGGTGGTAAAAAAAAAAAAAAAACAGTTGAGAAAGCCTTGCAAAGTGTCCATTTTGAAAGCGGAACACCTTTCTCTGTTGTGTTTATTCATGTGCATTTGGCATAGCGAGGTGAAAACCAACGTCCTGCTCCATTCTCCTAATTCGATGCTCACTTCAGTTTCCATGATTTTTGTTCCCCTTGCTACCTGGGGGAGGAGAGTTGTGCTAATGCTTAATTTTTGGACATCCAAATGGTGGGGATAGTTTGTGGCAACCCCTCCACTAGCCAGTCCTGAAATACCTTTTTAGTGTGGGGTCAGACATCCACATTTCCCTGAGGAAGCTTTCCTGGACAGCTTGCCAGGATGCCGCAGGGTGCAACCAAATACTAGAGTATGAAATGGAAGAGGCGGTGGCGGTATGTGCGCTTGATGGGCAGTGAACTGAGGATGGCAGGTCAGCCTGCTGGGCTCTATTCCCACAAATGTCCTTTAGAGAGTTGACCTTCTCTTTGCTGGGCCGAACTCTATTAGATACCATGTGGAATTCTGGTGATAGGAGGGAAATAATTGGAGACATTTATTTATTCACTCAGTCAACAAATCTTTATTGGGCATCCGCAATGTGTTAGGTGCTAATAAATGCAAATAATTTTACAAAGAATAGAAAGTTAGACCCATGAAAGTATTTCAAAATTTACAGTGAGTTTTCATCTGTGTCACTTCAAAGAAGATAAAACAGGCATGGTCCTTGCATTCAAAAATTCATAATCTAGTAGGTGAGATAAAATACGTAGATAAATCATTACATTACAGAGTAGAATACAATACAGGTCACTAGAGAAAGGGCCAGACCCTGACCAGGGAATGAACAGCTGTGCTGGAGTCACATGCCAGTGCTTGCACAGCTCAGAGCTGAAAAAAGGGAGAGGTCACATCCAGCTCTGGTTCCAGCTGTGTCTGAGTAAGATGCACATGATGGAATCTGGACATGCGAATAGGGAGAATAGAGTGGTTGTACTTTCGTCACCTTCAAAATACTTAAAGGGGCACACTCTTGGTTGTGGTTTGTGGCTCAACATCTTCTGGAGGATGTGCATCTTCTGGAGGATGTGCACAACAACCATTTGGTTGCCTTTGCAGAACCTGTACCCTGTACTTTGTTTGTTTGGTTGTTGAGACAGAGTCTCGCTCTGTCGCCCAGGCTGGAGTGCAGTGGTGCGATCTTGGCTCACTGCAACCTCCGCCTCCTGGGTTCAAGTGATTCTCCTGCCTCAGCCTCCTGAGTAGCTGGGATTACAGACATGCACCACCACGCCCAGCTAATTTTTGTATTTTTAGTAGAGACAGGGTTTCCCCTTGATGGCCAGGATGGTCTCAAACTCCTGACCTCAGGTGATCTACCTGCCTCAGCTTCCCAGACTGCTAGGATTACAGGCGTCAGCCACCTTGCCCGGCCTGAACCTGTACTTTAAAATTTAAAAACATTTTTGGAGCCCACAAGATAGTCGAATTGTGGCTGATAATTCATGTGGAATTAGGCCAGGTGCAGTGGCTCACACCCATAATCCCAGCACTTTGAGAGGCCGAGGCGGGCGGATCACTTGAGATCAGGAGTTCGAGACCAGCCTGGCCAACATGGTGAAACCCCGTCTCTACTAAAAATACAAAAATTAGCCAGGTGTAGTGGCGGGCGCCTGTAATCCCAACTACTCAGGAGGCTGAGGCAGGAGAATCACTTGAACCTGGGAGATGGAGGTTGCAGTGAGCCAAGATCCGCCACTACACTCCAGCCTGAGCGATAGAGTGAGACTCCATCCCAAAATAATAATAACAATAATAACAATAATAATAATAATTCATGTGAAATTAAACCTATTGACAGTGGTCAATAGGCCTAAAAGTCTCACTTTTAGGCCATTTTCTAAAGCACCACAATTTAGGGAATAATTTTTTTTTCAATTGTGGGGGATAATTTATAGACCTCAGTGACTCAGATTATTAACTTGGTCCTAAAATTTATAATTCTTCAATACAAGTTCATAAATATTCATCCTGGTGCCTAGGGGAGACCTCTCTTGGCTAAGAGATAGTTATTCAGTAAACATTTTTTGTTTCAACTCTTTATTCTGATAAATATTCTAATACAGTATGGAAGGATTTATTGCCTTGATAATGAGGATACATTATTTTTTTCTTTGGTAATTTCATATCTTGTGGTGTCTCAAATTTCTTATTCTGAGTGCCAGTTGCCATTGAACAGGACTATAGATAAGGAAGATATGAGAATTATAAACAAATGTGGACTTATATCAGAAGCTTCCTTGAAATCAAGGAACTTGCTAAACGTCCTCTGGTATAAGTGTATGTGTGTGTTGTTCTTCTACAAAGATAATTTAAAAAGAATTTTAAAAAGTAGGAATTCGTTAGAGATTCTGATTAGTCTGATATTTTGTATTTCTGGCTTTGCTTATAATTTGCTGCATTCACCTGGTTTTCTGACTCTCATGTCCTGATGGTCTGTGTCCAAGCAGGTAAACACCTGCCTTAGAAGGTCTTCCACGTTCACACAGCAAAAGAAATTAGGGAATCTGCCAAGTTCTCGAGCTCAACGTATCCTTCTTTTTCCAGTTGGTTGAAATGAACAACTAGTATGCCTCTTAGGAACACACACAATAATCTGAATTCTTGGTTTGACTAAATAAAAAATAGAAAGTAATCATATTTATTTAAAGATAAAATCCGCTAGTATCACTTGAAATCAAAAGCCACATAGAATGAACTTGGTTTCAATGAGTCAAAAGATTTCTAATACGCCTCTGTGATGAGATGGAAATGAAGATGAGAAGCAAACTTAAGTCTACTGACAAATATAGAAAATGTTTCACGTCCTGAATGAGTGTGTCCGTGTTTTTCTGTTTCCATCTGGATCCTTTTCAGTGTGATTACTTATTTTTAGGTTGGCATTTTAGCAGGAAGATGAAATGGCTTCAGGAAATAGTGTGAAAGGTTAAGAAGATGGGTGAGAAGTGTAAGTCGAGAGCCGTCATAAGGGAAAACGTGGCCTCACAGTTTTACGTTCAGTGCATCTCTAGAAAAACTAAATATCCATATTTCTGCTCAATTCCTATCATTGAACCTTGTAAACTTGAGTAGCTATGCCGTAGTGTCAAGGATTATTAGAGAAAGTATGGAACTTGAAGACACGTAAGTATAGGAGAGGCAGTGTAACCAAATAATGAAGTGGAAAACAGGCCCTAAAATGGGAATGTGCTATTTTTTCTTTTTCTTTCTTTTTATTTTTTGGGAGAGAGAGTCTTTCTCTGTCACCCAGGCTGGAGTGCAGTGGTGCAATCTCAGCTCACTGCCACCTCAGCCTCCCTGGTTCAAGTGATTCTCCTGCCTCAGCCTCCCGAGTAGCTGGGATTACAGGCACCCGCCACCACGCTCGGCTAATTTTTATATTTTTAGTAGAGATGGGGTTTCTCCATGTTGGTCAGGCTGGTCTCGAACTCCTGACCTTGTGATGCACCCGCCTTGGCCTCCCAAAGTGCTGGGATTACAAGTGTGAGCCACCGCACCCGGCCATGTGCTATTTTTTCTGAAAGCCTTTAGAGTCATATGGGAGAAGGAGGTATGAACTAGAACAAGCAGCAATTTGGTAATGTTATTCATGTTGAACCCAGGCAACCTACCAAAACTGAATGACATAATCTTCAAAATAGTCTTGAGGAAAGAAGCCCTTAGAATATGCATAAATACTTGTTTTTTTATAACAGGTTGATAAGTCCAAGCTATTTTAAAACGCTTCATATTCTCCTCACTCCTTTATGTAGTGAGTAACCAGTGAGGTAGTCAGCTCTGGCTATGCCTTTAGGGCAGCCACCGAGGAGGGCACCAGAACAAATCAGAGTGATGACCGCCTCCTCTGCTGTTTCGACACTCCCCACTCATCTTTGGTGCATGCCAATCCTGGCCCCTTCTGCCTCCCAATCCTGGCCCCTTCTGCCTTCCAATCCTGGCCCCTTCTGCCTCCCAATCCTGGCCCCTTCTGACTCCTGATTGTAGGTTGCCCTCGGGTTTCGCATCCAACTTCTGGACCGGGTTTGGTATTTGCTCACACTTGGCTGAATCAGGGCTGTCAGTCAATATTTCAGCTCATATTCATCATTTAAAATCTTTCCACTACAAGGCCGGGCGCGGTGGCTCACACCTGTAATCCCAGCACTTTGGGAGGCCGAGGCGGGCAGATCACCAGAGGTCAGGAGTTCAAGACCAGCCTGGCCAACGTGGTGAAACCCCGTCTCTACTAAATATACAAAAATTAGCTGGGTGTGGTGGCAGGTGCCTGTAATCCCAGCTACTCAGGAGGCTGAGGCAAGAGAATCACTCAAACCCTGGAGGCGGAGGTTGCAGTGAGCCAAGATTGCACCATTGCACTCCAGCCTGGGCGACAAGAGCAAAACTCCACCTCAAAAAAATAAAATAATGGGTGCAGCACACCAACATGGCACATGTATACATATGTAACAAACCTGCACGTTGTGCACATGTACCCTAGAAATTAAAGTATAATAAAGTAAATAAATAAATAAGTAAAATAAAATAAAATAAAATCTTTCCACTGCAGGCTGCATTGGTGACTCTTTCTGGACTCCATTCCCAGCCTGGCTCCTGCCTACGTAGACGCAGCCTCAGCCAGAAGCCCTGGTCCTGATGAAAGGGAAGTCCAGCAAGAATTCTTTTTTGTTTGTTTGTTTGTTTTTGCTGTTGTTGTTGATGTTAGACAGTCTCGCTCTGTCGTCCAGGCTGGAGTGCAGTGGCGCAATCTCGGCTCACTGCAACACCCGCCTCCCAGGTTCAAGTGATTCTCCTGCCTCAGCCTCCCGAGTAGCTGGGATTACAGGCACACGCCACCACGCCCAGCTAATGTTTGTATTTTTAGTACAGATGGGGTTTCACCATGTTGGCCAGGATGGTCTCGATCTCTTTACCTCGTGATGTGCCCGCCTGGGCCTCCCCAAGTGCTGGGATTACAGGAGTGAGCCACCGCTCCCGGCCGCAAGAGTTCTAATTCTCACTTTGTAAGGATGGAGACGTCCACACAGTGGGACCTTTCCTTCCTTGCCCGCACTGCCTCCACTATGTGGAGCTGGTCCTGTACACTGATCTGTTGTTAACTGAATACATCCTTCCTGCACAGACACTAAAGAGGGCCTTTCCTGTTCTCCACCCTTATGTTTCCCTCCCTCCTGATTTTTCTTTCTTCCAAAGCTTTTGCTGGACTCTTCCTATGAGCCAAAACCTACATTAGGTGCTAGAATTATAAAGATACTATCCCTGCCTTCTATAAACTCATATTCTAGTGGCTTCTGCCTTGAAGAAATAGGACCAATCGAGCACCGTATGTTCATACACTTATTCAACATTTTGGGGGTTTTGCCTTTGTTTAACGTGGAGAGGAATATGAGTTCATTTGCTCCTTGTTTCATGCTGGCTACTTAATTAAGTAAAAGATTTAGGAAGAGCTTTGAGGATAAAATGTATCTTTAGGGAGCTGTTAACTTAACCAGCCCAACCTGAAGTCTCCAGCAAAACTTTTTATTCCCATAATGTAAGTTTGTTAACTTAAAAAATTATTTAAAATAATTATAGGCTCACAGAAACTTTCAAAAATAGAGTCTATACTCTACACGTGTGGTGGCTCATGCCTGTAATCCCAGGACTTTGGGAGGCCGAGGCGGGTGGATTACTTGAGGTCAGGAGTTCGAGACCAGCCTGGTCAATATGGTGAAACCCTCTCTCTAATACAAATACAAAAATTAGCCGGCCATGGTGGCATATGCCTGCAATCCCAGCTACTCGGGAGGCTGAGGCAGGAGAACCGCTTGAACCTGGGAGATGGCGGTTGCAGTGAGCCGAGATTGTGCCACTGCACCTTAGCCTGGGCAACAGAGCGAGACTCTGTCTCAAAAAAAGAAAAAAATAGAGTATAGTCTCTTGAACCCAACTTCCCCAAGGGTGACATCTTGTATGACTGAAGTACAATATCTAAACTGACACTGACATTGGTACAACACTAGTAAGTATGCAACAGACCTTGTTCAGTTTTCACCAATTTTTATATGAACCCATTTGTGTGTACGCATGTGAGTGTGTAGTTCTATGCAACTTGCAATTTAACCCTGCATATAGATTGTGTAACCACCACAACAATCAAGATACAAAACTATTCCATCACCAAAAAGCAACTCCCTTTTCTTTAGGGTGATACCTTCCTAACCCATCCCTGTTTCCTAACAACCACGAACCTGCTCTCCATCTCTACAGTTTTGCCATTTGAGGGTGTTATGTAAATGAAATCATATAGGATATAACTTTTTGAGATCACCTTTTATCACTACACACAATATACCCTTATAATCCTTTCAAGTTGCATGTATGAGGAGTTCATTCCTTTTCATTGCTGAGTAGTATGCCATTGTAGGGATGTACCAGAGTCTGTTCAACCATTTACCCACTGAAGGACATTTATTTTGTTTCCAGTTTTATATTAATACAGATAAAGTTGCTATCAATGCCAATGTACAGTTTGTGTTCATTTCTCTAAGATAAATGCCCAAGGGTGTAATTGTTCAGTATAATAAGTGCACATTTATTTTGATAAGAAACAACCTGTTAGATAGGTTTTTTTGTTTTTGTTTTGTTTTGTTTTTTGAGATGGAGTCTCGCTCTGTCACTCAGGCTGGAGTGCAGTGGCATGATCTCGGCTTACTGCAACCTCTGCTTCCTGGGCTCAAGTCATTCTCCAGCCTCAGCCTCCCGAGTAGCTGGGATTACAGGCGCACACCACTATGCCCAGATAAGTTTTGCATTTTTTATTAGAGATGGGATTTCGCCCTGTTGTCCAGGCTAGTATCAAACTCCTGACCTCAGGTGATCTGCCTACCTCAGCCTCCCAAAGCGCTGGGATTACAGGCATGACCCACCCTGCCTGGCCTTTTTTTAATTTTTGAGACAGGGTCTCACTCTGTTGCCCAAGCTGGAGTTCAGTGACTCAATCATGGCTCACTGTAGCCTCGACCTCCCAGGTTCAAGTGATCCTCCCACCTCTGCCTCCTGAGTAGCTGGGACTACAGGAAGGTGCCACTGCACTCGGCTAATTTTTTATTTTTTGTAGAGACAGGTCTTACTGTGTTGCCCAGGCTGGTCTCAAACTCCTGGGCTCAAGAGATCCTTCCTCCTGCCTTGGCCTCCCAAAGTGCCAGGAGATAGTTTTTAAAAACAGCTTTATAGAAATAAAATTGACATGCAATAAACTGCACATATTGAAACTGTACATTATAAGTCTTGGCAAAAGTATATGCCCTGAAACCATTACCACAATAAAGATAACAAACACATTATTCTTTACTCCCCAAAAGTTTTCTTGTGGCCCTTTGTAATCTATTCTTCCTGCCCTTGCCTGCCCCCCACAACCCATCCCAAGGCAACACTGATCTGCTTTCTGTCACTATCAGTTAGTTTGCAGTTTCTAGAATTTGATATAAATGAGAGTTTGTTCTTTGGTGGGGGCAGGATCTAGCTTCTTTCACTAGCATAATTATTTTTGTATTCACCCATGTTGTCATGTGTATCAGTAACTAATTCATTCTTACTGCTGAGTGGTATTCCATTATATTGATGTACCATGATTTGTTGATCCATTTATCTGTTGATGAACACTTGGGTTGTTTACAGTTTGGGGCCCTTGCCAAAAAAGCTGCTATAAACATGCCTAGTGGATGTCCTCAGAAGTAGCCCAACTCCCTGGAACCTGAGACAAAAAGAGAGAAAGAGAGAGCAAGTAAGAAGGAGGGGCTCTGGCTTCTGCCAGAGAAAGGTCCAGATGATTGTGCCAGAACAGAAGCACCAGCAAATAGCACCTTTCATTTGTGTGGCACTTTGAAGTTCACAAAAACTTTTCACCTTCATTGTCTTCCATAACTTACACAACATCCTTCCCTGGCAACTGGGACAGGCATTACTATCACCAATTGACAGATAAGAAAACTGGTGCTCAGACATATTGAAGTGACTTGGCTAGGGGTCATATAAGCACCAGAGTCTAAGGGCATTATTAATCATTCTTACTGTCCTATGACCTCTTCCATTCTGGTGTTTAGGAAAAAAGCTCAGCTTCTCCACCTCAAGAAATTGTGGCACACACACAAACCTGATTGACTCTCCAGAGTTCTTTAACGTACCTGACTCCCTTTGTTAAATTGTTTAAGGAAAAATAAAAGATATTTGCTACCACTACCAGTTTCCCCTGGAGTACAAAAGCCATTGTGCTATGGATTGGCAGGATTCAACCGTCTTTTTCTTATGAATATATTGGCATTTATAAGCAGGAAGTCCACTGATCTATGATGATGATCCTGGGACACCTCCTCATCCCAAGAACCAAATGGTGCTCTGTGGAGTAGGAATATACTATATCTGAAATAAAATGATTATGATTTTATGTGGTTGACAGCAGATGAGACATTGTAAAATAAAAGGTCAATGCACTTAAAAACATAGTAATAGAAAACTTTCCAAACCAAAGCACAGAGAGGAAAAAAAAATAAACCAAGTCTTAGTGACCTATTAGACACCATCAAGCTGTTTAACGTACTTGTAATTAGAGTTCCAGAAGGGAAAGCAGAAAAAATATTGAAGAAATAATAGCCAAATATATTTCAAATTTGATGAAAACTATGAACTCACAGATCTGAGAGCTCAACAAGCCACGAGACATAACAAAGACAAAACTACATCAAGCCATATCCTAATTAAGTTGCAGAAAACCAGTGAAAAAGAAAAAATCTTAAAAGACATATTACACAGTGGTTCACGCCTGTAATCCCAGAACTTTGGGAGGCCAAGGTAGGCAGATCACCTGAGGTCTGGAGTATGAGACCAGCCTGGACAACATAGTGAAAACCCATCTCTACTAGAAATACAAAAATTAGCTGGGTGTGGTGGTGGGCACGTGTAATCCCAGCTACTCGGGAGGCTGAGGCAGGAGAATCGCTTGAACCCGGGAGGCACAGTTTGCAGTGAGCTGAGATTGTGTCACTGCACTCCAGCCTGGGCAACAGAGCAACACCTCGTCTCAACAACAACGACAACAACAAAAGACATACATACAGAGGCACGAAGATTTTTAAAAATACTGATGACTTCTCTCCAGAAATAATGCAAGCCAGAAGGCAATGGGAAGGCATTTCTAAATTGCTGAAAGAAAACAAAAAATGGCAAACCTAGAATCCTAAAGCCTGTGGAAAAAATATCTCTTAAAAACAAAGATAAAATAAAGACATCTTCAGATTTTAAAAAGCTGAGAGAAGTAATTGCCAGCAGATTTTTCACTATAATAAATGTTAAAAAGAATATCTTCAGGCAGAAGGAAAAGGAACCAGACAGAAACTCAGGCTTACCTAAGGAATGAAGAGTTCTGAAAATGGTAGATAGGTGGGTAAATATAAAAGATTTTTTCCGATTTTTACTATATTTAAATTTAAATGGCCTGTTCTAAGCAAAGTTAATAATGACATATTGTGGATTTTGCAATAAATAGGAATCTAAAATGTACAGCATTGATATGAAGGACCTAAGAAGGAAAATGGAAATACACTGATGTAAAGTTTTTATACTATGCTTGAAGTGCTAATATTATTTGAAGGTGGGTTGTGGTAAGTTAAAAATACATATTACAAGCCCTATAGCAACCACTAAAACATAAAACAGAATTATAGCTAGTAAGGGAACAGTGGAGATAAAATAGAATCCTAAGAAATAAATCACTTACTCCAAAAGAGGTCAGGAAAAGAAGAGGTAAAGGAACAAAGAACAGATGAGTCAAGCAGAAAAAAAAAAAAGAAGTAAGCTTGTAGAGTTACACCTAACTATATTATGTTATAGTATATTATATTAATTGATTTAATTATATTAAATGTAATCAGTGTAATTATATTACATGTAAATAGTCATAACATCCTGATTAAAAGGCAGATATTATCATAATGGATAAAAAGGCAACATTCAACTTAATACTTTCTACAAAAAAAGGAGTTTAAATATATGAAGACAAGCTGGTTAAAAGTAAAAAAGGTAGAAAGAGATACATTACACACTGACTATAAGAAAACTGGAGCAACAATATTAATATCAGACAAAATAGATTTCAGGACCAAGGGTATTACAGTAATAAAGACGGGTATTTCATAATGTAGACGAGTTAATTCAGCAAGATGTAACAATTCTAGATGGATGTGCAGTTAATAACAAAGCTTTAAAACACATGAAACAAAAACTAACAAAGGGCAAAGGGCAATTAGAGGAATTCACATATAGTTAGAATTTTCCACAAAGTCCTATTTCAATAATTGATAGACAAAGTAAATAGAAAAACAATAGCAATAGAAAACATGAACAAGTTACAAAAAACCAGTTATAGAAAACATGAAGAACACTATCACCCAATTTGACTCATTACGTTTTCTAGAACAATATTTCCCAAAACAGCAGAATACACGTTCTTTTAAAGTACACATTGAACATTCACCGTCTCTGATCACAACAGAATTAAAATAGAAATTAATAACTGAAGATATATGGAAATCCTCAACCATTTGGAGTTTAACAACATAACTACTAAATAACCCGTTGGTAACAGAAGAAATAACTAGGGAGACTTAAAAAATATTTGAACTGAACGATATGAGCCTACACTTTACTAGAGAAGCCTCTAATTACCTTCTTTAATCAGCCGAGGGATCAGAGAAGGCTATTTTCTCTCTTAACTTGTTCACTAGCCCATTTCATGTACCCTTCTCCCCAGGATAAAACAGAGGAACAGTGTTACTTAGGTCCTTAACACCTAGTAGTAAGGATTACTATGTATCAGGCAGTGAGCCTGCGCCAGGTACAGTGCTAATTACTTTACCGACATTATCTCATCCAATCCTCACAACATTCCACTGAGATGGGAGGTCTTGTTACACATTTTGCAGGTAAGGAAATGGAAGTGCAGAGAGGTTGACTTGTTCAGATCACAAAATTAGTATCCTGGTGCCAACATTCCAGTCCAAGCAGGATGACGCCGGAGCCCACACGTTTGACACCATGCCATACCAGCACCACAAAGGGCATCGCACAATTCTAGGGGAAAGAAGGAGGGCTATTTATATTTTATGTACTAGGTTTTGGCTACAAAATTCCCTCTTATTAAATCATAGTTTTAGCTACTTTCCAAAAACCACGACTACCTCTTTCTGGTTTGAAAAAGAAGCTTGGAAAAGTCTCCACTATGCTTACTTACTACAAGACCTCAAGGACTGGTTAAGATGAGTCATCCGCAGCTTGAAAAGCAATGTACTTGGAACTAGAAGACACTGATTATCAGCTCTGTTGCCTCAGGCAAGTCACTTCTCTGGGCCTCGATTTCTTCATGTGTAAACCAGGGAAAACAATAACTAACTATAAGGAATATGTAAGAAAACATAAGTGGAAGTGGTTTGTAATCTGAAAAATAATATATGAATTTGAAGGAACTTTTTATGTTTACTGAGGGAGGACCATTTAAAAATGGATTTGATATTACTTATATTAATTTAAAATTTAAGCAGCAAGATCTGATCATTCACTGTGTTTACTGTCAATGATGACTTATATAACACTTTCACTTCTGAATAAGAATTTTGGTATAAAGATTTATTTTCTTTGAGGGTAAAGTTTAAAAAGACTAGAGAGTACTTAAGCTGCCAGCCTTTGCCCTGCTTATACAGAGTGCTGGCAACAGAGGCTGATGCTTCATAAAAATAAACCTTTAGAAGTTTGTACATATACCATAACACTATGCATCAATATTTTTAAAATGTACACCTCTTAATCCAGTAATTTCACTTCCAAGAATTCATCTTATGGATAAACATTTGTTTATCTAGCATGGTTTTTCATAATGGAAATCTGGAAGCAACCAATTTAATAAGTATGGCCATTTGATAAAACACTCTATGGATGATAAAAAAACTATTCTGTAAAAGATTGGTTTCTTATTTACCTGAGAAATTATTAATTTGGGGAAAATAAGTACTAAAAAGCAAAGTTTTAAAAGGAGGCTACAAAAATAGAATGACCATCAGCAATTGATCCAGCAATTTCACTTCTGGGTGTATACCCAAAAGAATTAAAGGTAGGGTCTTGAGGAGATAATTTGTCCACACATGTTTATAGCAACCAACAATAAAAACAACCCAAATGTCCATCCATAGATGAATGGATGAACAAAATGAGGTACATACATACAATGGAATTTAATTCAGCCTTATAAAGGAAGGAAATTCTGATACGTGCTACCACATGGTTGGACCTTGAGAACATTATGCTAAGTGAAATAAGCCAGCTACAAAGAAGACAAATACCGTATTAGTCCACGTGCATGAGGCATCTAGAGCAGTGGAATTCCTAGAGGCGGAAGGTAGAACAGCGATCGCTCGCAGCGGGGAGAGGGAGGAATGCAGAGACACTGTTTAATGTGTGTACAGGTTCAGTTTTGCAAGATGAAAGAGCTCTGGGGATCGGGTGCACAACAATGGGAATGTACATAACACTGCTGAACTGTACACTTAAAGATGGGTAAGGCCCAGCGCGGTGGCTCACGCCTTTAATCCCAGCACTTTGGGAGGCCGAGGCAGGTGGATCATGAGGTCAGGAGTTCAAGACCAGCCTGGCCAAGATGGTGAAACCCCATCTCTACTAAAAGTACAAAAATTAGCCAGGCATGGTGGCAGGCACCTGTAATCCCAACTACTCAGGAGGCTGAGGCAGGAGAATCTCTTGAACTCGGGGGGGCAGAGGTTGCAGTGAGCTGAGATCACGCCAGTGCAGCACTCCAGCTGGGGTGACAGTGAGATTCTGTCTCAGAATAAAAAAAAAAAGGGTAAGATGGTGTATTTTATATCTATTTTACTATAATTTAAATTTTTTTTAATTTACAAAGATAATGAAGAGTTAATGAGGCAGATAGGAAGGAGTGTTTTAGGCCCCCCAAAAAATGATGTTAAAAAATATGGCAGCACGGAAGAGCATGGTACATTCCGGGAACTGGATAGGAGTTTTTACGGCTGGATGTGCCAGACAAGATTGGGACTTTATCTAGAGAAGCAGCATTGAGTTGATTTGCTTAAGGTCACTCATGAAATTGTGGGCAGAACACCGACAGGATCACTCAGACCTGATTCCCAGCTTGGAAGGTGTATGTCTGTGTAGACATGTGATGTATGTTTAACAATCATCATAAATGGGAAACATCTAAATAAAACGCCGGTATCACAACATTTAACATTTGACGCATTAACTGAGTTGTAACATACATCTTCCCGGGGGTAAATATCCCTTGTATAGATCCTTAATTTTCTGTCATTATCATGCACCAAGCCTTTTTGAAGCTATAAAATAAATGTAAATTCCTTAAAAAAAGCAGACTACAAAATAACATGTATGATACTATTTTTCTAAGAAACATATATATATATATATGCATGGAAAATACTAGACATATCTACAGCAAATGTTAGTTGGCTGTTATCTTTGGCTTGTGTGAGTTTGGTTAATTTTTTTTTTCTTAGTGCTTTTCTGTTTTCTAATGTTTCTTCACTGAGCACATAAACTAGAAGAAAATATTAAAGAAAAAGGAATTCTTAGGTGCACCCCATAAAATGGCAGATCTTTAAAGAATGCTTTGGTAATGGTGTCAATCACTTCTTTTGATTCCAAGAAGTAATAATCCTCATATAGGTGAGCTTGGATCTGCAGAAGGAGCTGGAAATGTCAAGAGAGTGGCTGTTAACCAGGAGAGCCCCAGTCCTTACTACCACCTTCTTCCCTCTCTTTTTCTCTTCCTCACTGTGCCATCCATCCCTGTTAGTCTCCTTCTCAACTAGGGTGACTTTCTAGTAACCCAACACTTGTTTGATGGGCTCGCTCCCCAGACAGCCTTATGCCAAGGTGTTTAAATACCCTAGGAGCAGTATGCTGGGAACTGGAAGGTTTCTCATGAATGGGGCCATCTTAGAGAACTAAATTCAGCTTAGAATTCACTGTTTTACAAAATGAGGTCATTTTGCCTCAAAGAAATACAAAAAAAACCCTCAGAGACTATCACCAATACTTCTATGCACACAAACCAGAAAGCCTAGAAGAAATGGATAAATTCCTGGAAACATACAACCTCCCAAGATTAAGCTAGGAAGACATTGAAACCCTGAACATAATAAGTTCTGAAACTGAATCAGTAATAAAAAGCCTACCAACCATAAAAAGCTCTGGACCAGATGGATTCACAGCCAAATTCTACCAGACATATAAAGAAGAGCTGGTACCAATCCTACTGAAACTATTCCAAAAAATTTAGGAGGAGGAACTCCTCCCTAATTCATTCTATGAGGCCAATGTTATTCTGATACCAAAACCTGGCAGGGACACAACAAAAAAAGAAAGCATCAATATCCCTGATGAACAGAGATGCAAAAATCATCAACAAAATACTAGCAAACTGAATCCAGCAACACATCAAAAAGCTAATCTACCACAATCGAGTAGGCTTTATTCCTGGGATGCAAGGTTCATTCAACACATGCAAATCAATAAATGTGATTAGAACCAGAAATAAAGCTGCACACCTACAACCATCTGATCTTTGACAAAGTCAGCAAAAACAAGCAATGGGAAAAGGATTCTCTATTCTATAAATGGTGCTAGGGTAACTGGCTAGCTATATGCAGAAGATTGCAACTGGACTCTTTCCTTTCACCATATACAAAAATCAACTTAAGATGGATTAAAGACTTAAGTGTAAAACCTAAAACTATAAAACCGTAGAAGAAAACCTAGGAAATACCACTCTGGACATAGGCACTGACAAGATTTCATGATGAAGATGCCAAAAGCAATTGCAACGAGAACAAAAATTGACAAATGGGACCTAATTAAACAAAAAAGCTTCTGCACAGCAAAACAAACTACCAACAGAGTAAACAGACAAACCTCCAGAATGGGAGAAAATATTCGCAAACTACTCATCCAACAAAGGTCTAATATCCAGAGTCCGTTCTTCCAGAAGGAAACAATAGACACAGGGGGCCTACTGGAGAGTGGAGGGTGGGAGGAGGGTGAGGATCAGAAAATTATCTATCGGGTACTATGCCTGTTACCCAGGTGATGAAATAATCTGTACACCAAACCCCCAGGACAGGCAATTTACCCCTGTAACAAACCTGCACATGTACCCCTGAAGCTAAAATAAATGGGGGACGGGGGGCAGGAAAAGAAGATGAAGAGAGAGAGAGAAAGAGACAGAGGGCTTATTTAAAGAAATAATTCCTGAATACTTCCCAAATCTGGGAAAAGATATAAACATCCAAGTACAGGAAGATCAAAAGTCTCTAATCTGATTCAACTAAAAGAAGACTATACCAAGATATATAGCAATCAAACTGTAAAAAAAAAACAAAAAAAAACAAAAACAAAGATAAAGAGAGAATCCTGAAAGCAGCAAGAGAAAAAAGATCACCCCTCATAAGGCTATCAGTGGGTTTCTCAGCAGAAACTGCAGGCCAGGAGAGAGTGAGATGAACGATCTGAAAACTATAAAACATTGATGAAATAAATTGAAGAAGACACAAATAAATAAAAGATCAATGAAAAATTAATGAATTAGAAAAATTAATATTGTTAAAATGTCCATACTTTGGTCATTGCTAAATGCCCAAAGAGATCTGTAGAATTAATGCAATCCTTATCAAGAGTCCAGTAATATTTTTACAGAAATAATTTTGAGCAAAAAGAATAAAGCTAGAGGCATCATACTACCTCATCTCAAAATATACTGTAAAGCTTTAGTAATTTAAACAGCATGGTACTGGCATAAAAACAGACATATTGACCAATGGAACAGAATAGAGAACCTGGAAATAACTTCATATATTTACAGTCAATTGATCTTTGACAAAGTTGCCAAGAAGACACAATGTGGAAAGCACCGTCTCTTCAATAAATGGTGTTGGGAAAAGTGGATATTGACACACAGAAGAAAAAAATTGCACCCTTATCTCATACAGTATATAAAAAACAAATCAGAAAGGATTAGACTGAAGAGCTGAAACTGGTAAAACTACTAGAAGAAAACATGGGGAAAAGCTCTATTACATTGATCTGAGCAATGACTTTTTTGGATATGACCCCCAAACCATAGGCAGAGTAGAATGGTGGTTGCCAGGGGATATGGTGTGTGTATGGAAAATGGGATAACATTGGCCAAAGGATACAAACTCACAGTTAGACAGGATGAACAAGTATTTTACAGCACAGTGACTATAGTTAATAATAACTTTGTGGGCCGGGCGTGGTGGCTCACATCTATAATCCCGGGACTTTAGGAGGCTGAGGTGGGTGAATCACAAGGTCAGGAGTTCAAGACCAGCCTGACCAACATGGTGAAACCCTGTCTCTACGAAAAATACAAAAATTAGCTTGGCGTGGTGGCACGTGCCTGTAACCCCAGCCACTCGGGAGGCTGAGGCAGAAAAATTGCTTGAACCCAGGAGGTGGAGGTTGCAGTGAGCCGAGATTGTGCCACTGCACTCCGGCCTAGGTGACAGAGTGAGACTCCATCTCAGTAAATAAATAAATAAATAATAGCATTGTGTAGACTTGAAAATTGCTGAAAGAGTAGATTTTAAATGTTCTTGCCATCAAAAAATGATGAACATGTGAGGTTATGGATACTTTAATTAGCTGAAAGTAATTATTTCACAACTTTTAGATCTACCAGGATATTACATTGTGAACTATAAATATACGTAACTTCTATTTGCCAATTATATCTCAATAATCCTAAAAAATAAAATACAGGAGAAAAAAGTTGCACTACGTTTCGAAAGCTTATCCACATTGTTTAATGTAGCTCTCTGTCATCCTTTGTTGGTAATGTGACATTCCATTGTGCAAATATATATAACTTATAAAATATTTTTTAAATGAGGTCATTTTGGAGAAGCTCAGGAGGAAGCAACAAAAAGGGAGGGAGAAATGTCAAATGATATGAGAACTTAAGGGGGAAAAGGGAAGGAAGAGAAAGATGAAGGCTAAACCATTGTGTAGGAAGACATTGTCAATGCTTCAGCAGGGACTTCAGTGGAGGTGCTGAATACAGCTTCTGACGGTAAAGGTCATGATGCCATCACATGCAAATGGAGAGACAGACTCCTCATCTCAGAAACCAAAGAAATCTAGACTCCTAAATCTGTAATAGCAGGAAGAACCCTCACTGTAACAGGCTTGCCTCTGAATTTCCCAGGCCTCATTGCTGCCTTTCATTCTCCTCTTCCCAGTCTGGAAACGTATTTCCACCCTTCTTCCTTTGACTGCTTTATCAGACCTTCAGGGCTCAGCCCAGGGCTTCCTCTCTTATTGCCTATCAAGTTAGACTTAAATTATCTGTTTCTATGGACCTCCTTCATTTAACTCTAAGTTTCTTGAAGGCAAGAGCTGTGCCATATTCATCTTTGTATTCATCTGTGAATAGATGGTATTAAATATTGCTTGAACTGAACTGAACTGATTGAAGAATTGAGCCTTTCTTGTTCTTAAGGCTTTCACATTTCCTACTTGAAAGCGAGCAATTTTTTTTTTTTGAAGTGTTTCTCTCTTGTTGCCCAGGCTGGAGCGCAATGGCATGATAAGCAATCTTTTCATTGATAACTAAGCTTGGTGCATTGACCAATCTCTAGAGCCTCTGGAGACCCAGGCTCCCTCTACAGCCACCAAGGGCATTATCCATCAGCATTATCCTCAATAGCATCCTATATGGACAGGAGGGATTTCCTTGGGGCAGAGGGACTGATGCAGTAATGCTGCTGCTAATGCTCGCTCTGGACTGGCTAAAAGAGTTTGTTATTCGTGCAATAAAATCTCTGATCTAATCACGTCCCTGGAAAGCTATCTTTTACATTAAAGAAGACTGGAGTCAAGGATTTTAAAGTGCCGGGCACGATGGCTCACACCTGTAATCCCAGCACTTTGGGAGGCTGAGGCGGGTGAATCTCCTGAGGTCAGGAGTCCGAGACCAGCCTGGCCAACATGGCAAAAAATTAGCCGGGTGTGGTGGCGGGTGCCTGTAATCCCAGCTACTGGAGAGGCTGAGGCGGGTAAATCTCCTGAGGTCAGGAGTCCGAGACCAGCCTGGCCAACATGGCAAAAAATTAGCCGGGTGTGGTGGCGGGTGCCTGTAATCCCAGCTACTGGAGAGGCTGAGGCAGGAGAATCGCTTGAACCCAGGAGGCGGAGGTTGCAGTGAGCCAAGATCCCTCCATAGCACTCCAGCCTGGGCGACAGAGTGAGACTCCAACTCAAAAAATAAAAAATTTAAAAAAAAATTTTTTAAAGCAATCTTCTCCTAAGGAATGGTGATTTCTGGAGTAAAAACTTTCTCTGAATAGGAGTTTCCCTTGCTCACTCCTGCACCAGCCTTCTCTCCATGACCAAATTCATAAGGCACTCAGCAAGACTCTGTGCTCAGAGCCCAATTGCAACACACAGTACAATTATGCTGACCATGCCAAATACTTTGGCTTTGGAGAATAGATCTATTAACCCCAGCAACGTGGTTGTGTTCCTCAAGCGATCCTAGCCTAAGAAAAGACATGTGAATAGCCTGACCTCAGAGTCACCCTGGCCTGAGCTTGCCCTCAACCTGATCTGAACTTCCTGGCACTTGGGACCAGAATAATAGCAGTCACACCTGAGTTTCCAGTATAAGGTCACAATGCAAAGAAGAGAATCAAAAACACTGGTCCGAGAAGATCTTCCAAATCCCTTCCTAAATGAAGTGGTTAGATCAGAGATTTATGTTTGAGTTTTTATTCTCTCCTGATTTGTTCACAATTAACTTGCAAAGCTGTGTTAATAGGCAGCTTCATGAACAGAGATCCCAGAGGTTAGAGACCAATAAGAATTGTACAGTATTGCATCATTTCCTTGGGAAATTCTTCAAATTAAGCCACTAGCTGCATTCTTTTCTGGCTCAATTTAGGGTCACCAAACCATAGAAAAGAATGATTCACCAAACAAACTTTTGCTTTTCCTTTTCTGGTGCTTCATTTAACCGCTTTATGCCTCAGAGTAAAGCTATTATAATGGCATTATCCTTCTAATGAGGAACAGTGCAATGCTTTCCTGATGTTAATACCCAGAATTATGCAGTGTTTAAAAGCCACCGTGACTTTAGGGAATACTCACTAAGTTTTCTATTGCAAATACCCTAGTCATATTGAAAATGAATGAGTGTAATTCTTTTGGTGTTTTTAAAAAACGTACAATTCTTTTAATAAATCATAGTTCCCAAAAGGAATAAGAATGGTTCATTAGCAGTACTAATGAAAATTCCATCTTCAGTAAAACTTAGCAGAATATCATTCCCTGTAACAAAATGTTTTCAGACACTTTGTTTGCCAACTTTATTAATGGAGAACTTTGTGGTCTAGATTAGAAAACTGAAGATAATTGAGAGAAAGAGAAAGAAAGAGAAACCATCCTAGACAAGCAGTTATATGTATCATTTAAAAAATAATGGCTCAAACAATAGTGTCACAAATCTTCAGAGGTAATGAGAAATTTTTAAAAAAATTAAAAAGTGGCATAAAAAACATTGTTCTTAGTAAAATTCTTTTCCAGGCATTATATTTATTGCTGAGGTGTTCTCTTCATCCACTCGTTCGTGTTTAGCCAAGCAACCTTGAGAAGTTCGAAGTTGTTTGCCTGCTACAGACCATAAACAAAGACGGAAGATTTGAATTTTCAAGTCCCAAGGCTTCAGCTTTGCAATTTCCTTCTCAGACAAATTTTCCTAGAGAAATAGAATTTGTTTTAGTTCCTGGCTCATAGTAGTTGCATCATACAGATTAGTTTACTGAATGACCTGATGAATAAGGCTTTTATTAAAGTAGCAGACTAAACAATTTTTCTGTCTGTTTTTAGGAACTTTCCCTGTCTGTGGAAGTAAGTGATGACCACCTGAATGAGAACAGAGGCTATTTATACAGAGCTTGCTATAGCGAGGGAGTGAGCACCGTCACTTGCATTTGGCAGAGGCTCAAAGGCAGGCAAGGGAGTAGGAAAGCTTTATAATTAAAAGAAGAGAAAAGGAGATCCTCAGGTATGGAAAAGCTGGAGGCAAGATAACTAGAAGCAAGGCATTTTGTATGATTGATTTAGGGAGAATACTTGCCTTTCTCTGATTGGCCTTGAGTTGAAAGATGGTAAAAATTAGTGAAGCTGGGCCGGGCGTGGTGGCTTACGCCTGTAATCCCAGCACTTTGGGAGGCCGAGGCAGGCGGATCACGAGGTCAGGAGATCGAGACCATCCTGGCTAACATGGTGAAACCCCGTCTCTACTAAAAAATACAAAAAAAATAGCCGGGCGTGGTGGCGGGTGCCTGTAGTCCCAGCTCCTCGGGAGGCTGAGGCAGGAGAATGGTGTGAACCCGGGAGGCGGAGCCTGCAGTGATCCGAGATCGCGCCACTGCACTCCAGCCTGGGCGACAGAGTGAGACTCCGTCTCAAAAAAAAAAAAAAAAAAATAGGGAAGCTGGCAGTCATTGACCAAGTTCTGATTATTTTAGGCCAATTACTGCAGTGGTTGTTGTCTGATTTCCTGGGTTGCTTGCTGCAGAGGTTGTGGATCACAGAGTTCTGTTGTCATATATGGTCTGGTGTGTATTCAGTCTTTCATCATATATAGCAATTTCTTGAATTACTTTCTCATCCCAATCCCCCTTGACATTTCAAAATGTAGTGGCACGCAAAGTGACTTGCCAACTTGTTTAAATCCATTCGTTTTTGTTTGTTTGTTTTGAGAAGGAGTCTCGCTATGTCGCCCAGGCTGGAGTACAGTGGCGCAATAGCTCACTGCAACCTCTGCCTGCCGGGTTCAAGCAATTCTCATGCCTCAGCCTCCTGAGTAGCTGGGATTGCAGGTACCTGCCACCATGCCCGGTTCATTTTTGTATTTTTAGTAGAGACAGGGTTTCACGATGTTGACCACGCTGGTCTTGAACACTTGACCTCAGGTGATCCACCTGCCTCAGCCTCCCAAAGTGCTGGGATTACAGGCGTGAGCCACTGTGCCTAGCCTAAATAGTGATTTTACATGGAGTTTTGTCATTAGGAGGAGGAAGAAACTTGACTTTTTCACTCTAAGGGGATCTTCTATTTGTTTCCAGGAATTTTAGGGACTCACATACATATTAAATTTGGAAAGGTTCTGAGAAGTAATTTTAAAATTGTCTATAGGCAGAACCACATTTAAATCTTCCTAGTGAGGCTGGGTGCAGTGGCTCATGCCTCCAGACCTGGCTAATTTTTGTATTTTTAGTAGAGATGGGGTTTTATCATGTTGACCAGGCTGGTCTTGAACTCCTGACCTCAAGTGATCCACCCACTTCAGTCTCCCAAAGTGCTGGGATTACAGGCGTGAGCCGCCATGTCCAGCCTCAGGTTGAAAGCCTTCTCATAATGTGTGGTGACCCTTGGTTGGCTCCTCCTGTTGAAAGCTGAGCTGATTGGAGGCTCTGTGTATATTTGAGATATTTGAGAGGCTCATTGATTGGTCTGCATTCTTTTTTTCTGACAGATTCTCACTCTGTTGCCCAGGCTGGAGTGGAGTGGCTCGATCTCAGCTCACTGCAACCTCCGCCTCCTGGGTTTAAGTGATTCTCCTGCCTCAGCTTCCTGAGTAGCTGGGACTACAGGCACCCACCACCACGCCCTGCTCATTTTTGTATTTTTAGTGGAGATAGGGTTGCACCATATAGGCCAGGCTGGTCTCGAACTCCTGATCTCAGGTGATCCGCCCACCTCAGCCTCCCAAAAGTGCTGGGATTACAGGCCGTGCCTGGCCTGGTCTGCATTCTTGAAGGGCAATAAAATGACCAGCTTGACATTTTTTTTAAGCAGCTTTATTGAGATATAACTCACACACCATACAATTCACCCATTTAAACTGCACAGTTCAATGGCTGTTAGTATATTCACAGAACTGTGAGTCCAAAACCACTGTTAATTTTAGAACATTTTTATTAAAATAAAAAAACCTCATTCCTTAGCCCTCACCTTCCAACCCCTTCCATCCCATGCTCCTCAACCCTAGGCAACAACTAATCTACTTTTTCTCTCTACAGATTTGCCTTTTCTGGATATGTCATCTAAATGGAATTTGCAGTATGTGGTCTTTTGTAACTTGCTTCTTTTACTCAGCATAATGTTTTCAAGGTTCACTCATGTCATAGCATGTATCAGTACTTCACTTCTTTATTTTGCTGAATAATATTATGTTACATGGGCGTACCAATTTTATTTTTCCATTTACCAATTCATGGGTATTTGCGTTGTTTCCACTTTCTAGCTATTACGAATAATGTTGTAATGAATATTTGTGTATAGACACGTGTTTTCAGTTGTCTTTGGTGTATACCTAGGAGTGGAATTGTCACATCCTATGGAAATTACATGTCCAAGTGTTCAAAAAACTCCCAGACTGTTTTCCAAAGTGGATGCACCATTTTACAGTCCCAGCAGCAGTGTATGGGGGTTCTGATTTCTCCACATCCTTTGCAGCACTTGTTATGATGGTAACAGCTGTGTCTTTTTGATCAGAGCCATCCTTGTGGGTGTGAAGTCTACCTCACTGTGGTTTTTATTTGCATTTTTCTGATGGCTTAGGCTTTCGTTGTAAGCCTTCCAACTATGAGTATCTACTGATCTTTCTGAGGCAATTCCATTTTTCTCTCTGAAGGGTACTCCAGCTATGGCTAGCAGGAAGAAGGAGGTGGGTGTGAGGGAGTTATCTCTGTTCAATACACAGATTTTCCCTTAGTTTCCTGTACTATAATGCACCACCATCTTCCTCTGAGTCTAGTAGTTCCAAATCTAAAACTTCTCTTATTCTCCAATAAATCAAATTCTTGCCTTTTGGAGGAGTGAGGGAAGATGGTCACCGGTCTGAATATGTGGGAGCCTGGGCATCTAAATTCCTTTTTTTTTTTTTTTTTTTTTTTTGAGATGGAGTCTTGCTCTGTCACCCAGGCTGGAGTGCAGTGGCACAATCTCAGCTGACTGCAACCTCCGCCTCCCGGGTTCATGCGATTCTCCTGCCTCAGCCTCCTGAGTAGCTGGGATTACAGACGGGCACCACCATGCCTGGCTAATTTTTGTAGTTTTAATAGAGATGGGTTTCACCATGTTGGTAAGGCTGGTCTCAAACTCCTGACCTCAAGCAATCCACCTGCCTTGGGCTCCCAAAGTGTTGGGATTACAGGTGTGAGCCACCGCGCCTAGCCACTCTTCTTTTTATTAAGGATGGAGGAACAAGTTTCTCTTTGTTCTAATATTTTTGGAGTCTTTTTCCAAGAGAAAAAAAGAATAGAGATACAGCTTTATTCTGCTCTTTTGAACCCAAGCTTCTCCAAATTATTATGGTAGCATTTCTTATTAAATATTTACTTCTCTCTTATTCTTAAATTGCTTTGTTCATCTTCATTAGTAATTGGTAAAGGCCCATCCCTTTTAAATTTTTGACTCATTGTCTCCTACTCCCTTCGAGCTTGGCTTTGTTTATTCATGTGGTAATTTGCAAGTTGAAATGATATCCAACTTGGGAAAATTTTGCAGGATTTTTAAAAAGCATATTTGGAAAAGTTTCTTCAACTGCCGCCCAATTTATTTATAAAAGGCAGAAGATGCTTTAATCACAAATATTTAATCTCAGTTGATAAAATTGTCTTGGGAAGAAATTAATTTAATCTAAAGAAAATTTAAATAGAAAGCAAGATTTAAATGATTCATTATCGTTACCGTTCTTGTGAGTGTAAAATAGAAGAAAATAATAAAGGAATTTAGGGTTATACAACATGAGGAATAGGAAAATGACAGCCCTAGTGAGTGTCACTTCCCAAAAATGAAAGACTGGCACACAGGTCTTTGTTTTGGAAGGTTGTGGCAGTTTTCCATCCTAAATGAGATTGGTCACTGGACACAGTCCACATATAATTATGAAGAATCTTCTGGCTTCTCCACTTACCAGAATTCTATTCAGGTCATATCTCAGAAATGGAATACAAATGACTTCCTAAAATTCTAATAGCATTTCTTCAAATTCCAATTAAGTTTCCAAGTTTATCTTCTCTACCTACATAAGGATAATCTGACTGAAGGGCCCTGGCCAAAGCCTTCTGTGAACAGACAATGGTCATTCTCTTGGCAGGGGGTGGGGTGAAGAGGTTGTTTCATGTAAGGAGATTTTAGTATAATCCTGAGGATTTCCATATGGGATCCTACGGTTCTGTCAATACCACAAGTTCTTCAAAAGCAGAAAAGCAAATTTGGTTAAACTTAGAAACGTATCTCTAGAAAAGATTACTAATTTCTCCTTACCCCCAGCCCCTTCTCTCTAAAAGAAAGATGGATGGTTCTGGAAATGTCAGTAGCTTTCTGCCATCAGGGAAAAGTCCTCTGATAATTGTGTGCCGACGTTGTCTGGGAGCTCTTCTGGAGCTTACTTTACGTGCTTCTCAAACATGGGGATGGGAGTTGATGGGATCTGAGGGCACTTCCAGTTTGGATGTCCCGTCATCCAGAAAACCTCTCTCATACTTAAGGAAATGAAATGAAGGAGAGAAGGAAGCTACAGGGTATTTTAAATATATACCTTTGCATTAAAAAGAAACCCAAAAAACTCCGAAACAAAAAACCAACCCGTTTAGTTATAACATACCACCAGGGTGCGGATATGCATTTCTTCAAGGCCCTATTTCCATCAAAACTGTCTCCATTGTTAAAGGCATTCAAATATATGACAAGTACACTGTACAACAGACTAGCCCATGACTTGTGCCTTATTTTATCTGAATCTCACTCAGCCTCTCTCTTTTCTCTTTCGCTTAGTCTTTCTCTATCTCTGTCTCTCTCTCACACACATATACACCACTCTGTGCCCAGTGTTTTTTGTTTTGTTTTGTTTAATTTAGAAAAGGAGCCAAGTAGAGAAAAAGCAGCATAGATTAATCGAAGAAACAATGAACTAATGTTCAGCCCAGCTCCAGCCAGCTGTGGGGTCCTAAACCAAGTTATCTCAGTTTCCTCTTCCTCTGTGCTCTCCTTTGCAAAGTGGGAGACCATAACCAACGAGTTTATCTTATCGGTTGCTGTGGACCTGCAGTGAGTTAAATCTGCCTTTGAACACTGTATGAGAGGCTATACCACTCTCCGGATAGACCAGTTTACACGGGAGGCAGTTATTAGTCCTATGCTGATTTAGTACTCCATTATACCACACTCCAGGAATCTTAGGGTGGCTCTTCCATTAAAAAGCATTAATTCAGTGCCTAACTACCTATCATGGAGATGGTCAACTGTCCACATTTTAAAGGGAATTGGTTTCAACCTGTAGCTTTTATTCTGTTAAGAATTATCTATGAGAAAGAGATCAGTCTTGGTACCACCAAAACTGGGTAGAACGAATTCTTGATGTAGACTAAAGGGTGCTAATACCATTTCAGTATTCAGCAGGGACTGAGGTTTCAACAGCTTAGAACTGTGGTCTCAGAGGTCACGTGGTTCAACCTTATGTCCTGGGTATCTACCACCCTCTGACACAGAATCCTTGCTGGCTTCATTCAGCACCTTCCTGATTAAAAAAAAAAAAAAATTTCCACTACCTTGAGGCAGCTCTTTGGAATTTTGGACAGTTTCTGACAACTCATGTTAAGGAAAAACTTCCTGTGTTTGTCCATTGGTTGAATTTTCATCCATTGACTGTACTTGCCCACTGGGTACACAGAATAAGCCTGTTTGATGACTGCAGCTCCCTGGAGACTTCTGTTTTTCCAATGAAATGGCCCTAGATTGTACAGTTGTTTCCTGATTGCTGTGGTTACTCTCTTCTTTCCACATGCTGGTTTGTTCAGATTCCTTTAAAAGCGTGCTGCTAAGCAATGCCCCCTAGGCTCTCATGGAGGTCTGACCAATATGTCCACTTTCAACATACTTGACACTGTTCCTCTTCCTGCAGCCTAAGCTGGCATAAGCTTTTTTGACAGCATTAAATCCTTTCCTTTTAGTGATTGCCTTGGCACAGGCAGCATGCTGCTACCCTGCTGGAGTGAAAGCAAAAGATGCAGCGGAGTCTGGCAGGACCTGGACACCTTCATAGATTTATAAGCTGGGGCCTAGATGGAGGAGAAGACAAAGACAGAGATGTGAAGCTGCAAAGGTGGCTTGGGCAGGATGGTTGGGAAGGGAAGGGTTGGAACTTAGAGACAGTATCTTTGACATTGACTCTCTGACATTTCAATAAAAGAATGGGAAATCTGAGCCTTTCCCCATGGTCTTTGACTCCGAAGCCTTTTAAGCTCTTCAAAAGGCAAGTTAACTTGGAGCTGGAAAGTGAACAGCTTTACCTGCTAGTATTTTGTTGAAGTAACTTCTTCTATTCGTCTATCTAACTATCGATAGACAGACAGATAGGACAGATATAGATAGATAGATAGATAGATAGATAGATAGATAGATAGATAGATGATAGATAGATAGATAGATATAGTGTGTGTGTATATATATATATATTTAATGAGGAAGTTGGAAAATTAGATCCAATATTGTGTCCTATTCAATGGCAGCTGCTCACTGCACAAAGTAAGGAAAACTTTGAGGAAATAAAAGTTGCTTAGAAAAATCCAGATGTCAGGGCTGGGTGCAGTGGCTCACACCTGTAATCCCAGCACTTTGGGAGGCTGAGGCGGGTGGATCACGAGGTCAGGAGATCGAGACCATCCTGGCCAACATGGTGAAACCCCGTCACTACTAAAATACAAAAAATTAGCTGGGCGTGGTGGCACATGCCTGTAGTCCCAACAACCCAGGAGGCTGAGGCAGGAGAATAGCTTGAACCCGGGAGGCAGAGGTTGCAGTGAGCCGAGATCGTACCACTGCACTCCAGCCTGGCAACAGAGCAAGACTCGGTCTAAAAAAAAAAAAAAAGAAAAGAAAAATCCAGATGTCATTGCTTTGTATGTTGTGATGATGTGGTAGCCAGCTCCAAGAAGATGGCCTCCAGTGAGTCTTACTTTCTGGTATTCATATCCTTGAGGCTGATCTAAGTAACTGATCGGATATTATGGAGTATGCTATGGTCTGAATGTTTGTGTCCTTCTTAAATTAATACGTTGAAATCTTCACCTTCAAAGTGATCATATTAAGAGATGAGGCTTTTGGGAGGTGATTAGGTCTTGAAAGTGGAGCTCTTCTAAATGGGATTAGAGCCTTTATAAAAGATGCCAGATAGAGCTTGTTAGTCCCTTGCACCATGGGAAGATGTAGCAAGAAGGCTCCATTCATGAGGAATGGGGCTATTACCAGACACTGAATCTCTTGGTGTTTTTTTTTTTTTTTTTTTTTTTTTTTTTTTTTTTTTTTTTAAGACAGAGTCTTGCTCTGTCGCCCAGGCTGGAGTGCAGTGGCGCGATCTCGGCTCACTGCAACCTCCGCCTCCCGGATTCAAGCAATTCTCTGTCTCAGCCTCCTGAATAGTTGATTACAGGTGCCTGCTACCATGCCTGGCTAATTTTTATATTTTTAGTAGAGACGGGGTTTCACAATCTTGGCCAGGCTGGTCTTGAACTCCTGACCTCGTGATCCACCTGCCTTGGCCTCCCAAAGTGCTGGATATTACAGGCATGAGCCACCGCGCCTGGCCATTTTTTTTTTTTTAATTTTTATTCTCATGACTGTTAGATCACATCTGATGGTGTTTTGATCTTGGACTACTTAGTCTCTAGAGCTGTAATACATTCCTGTTGTTTATAAATCACCCAGTCTAAGGTATTTTGTTATAGCAGCCCAAACAGACTATGACAGAGTGTCACTTTTGAGACTAAGTGATGAAAGGCATTGTGGCTTCTTCTGTCTCGCCATCTTGAATCACTTGCTCTGTTGGACGTCAGCCGCTACGTCATGAAGACACTCAAGCAGCCCTATAGAAAGGTCTTCATGGTGAGAAATTGAAGCCTCCGCCCAATAGCCAGCATCAACTTACTAGCTATGTGAATGATCCATGCTGAAAGAGCCTCCCGTAGTCCCCCTGAAGCCTTCAGATGACTGCAGCCCTGGCAGGCTTCTTGACTGCAACATCATAATGCCCTGAGCCAAAACCACCCAACTATGCCGCTCCTGAATTCCTGACACACAGAAACTGAGATAATATTTATCGCTGTTTAACTTACTAAGCTAATAAGTTTTAAACCCTTAAGCTTTGAGGAACTTTTTTTTTATCCAGCAATAAGTAACTAATAAAGATGGGTAGAAAGGAGGAATGAAGAGTAAAGAGCCTTTATTCATTGTTCATATATGTTCATTTGCTAGGCACTTGCTGCCGGCACCTTAGGCTAAGGGTAGAACAAGTGCTGGGTTCACTGCTGCTTTTGTACACCGCTGACAACCAAATAGGGCTGTCACACAGAATGACAAGAAAAAAGGACACGTCCTCTTTCCTCCCCTTCCTCCTTTTTGCTTTTAGGGGAAGGCTAGGATGACATTGAGAACTCACACAAATTTTGTTTTTGACTCCTCAGTGTCCCCTGGGAAAAGGTGCATTGGCCTTTGTGTACTTGCTACAAGGCTGTGTATCCTTGAGAGCAGGACTCGGATCTTATTTATTTCTATCCCCGTTTCCTAGCAAGTGAACATATATGAACAATAAATGTTATCAAGGGAGAGGGCAAATTTCCCTCCCTGTTTCTTCTGAATTCTGAAGAGATTCCATTGTTAGAATGGTTTCTTACTGCAACCATCCCATTCACAGTCCATCAGCGAAGTCTTGAGAGTATGATGCCTGTCATGAGCCACTTTCACTACTAAATAAATTCCGTCCCTCTGTTAAGTTCCCGGCTGTTAGGACACCTCTGCCTTCAGCACCGTTTGACCCTTCTATCCCATTTTCTCTATGCAATGTTGCTTTAACTGTTGTTCAAGATCCCAGGATGCTTGATCCGGGAAAGCACAGAGGTCTGCTGCCAACATACCAACATACCTCTCTGTCAAGTTGTCCAAAATCACAAGAGAAAGAGCCCTGGACTAGAGCTAGGAGACCTGAGTTCTCGGCTGCTCTGTTACTGATTAGCGTCTATGTCCTTGGACAAGTTGCTTCCCTTTTTCCGGACCTCGGTTCCTTGTCCTAGATAGGTTCTAAAGTCGGTGGGTCCTTACAGTAAGTTAGGATTCTAAGGTGCAATCCAAAAGTAAAACCAGTGGTCAGTATACCTCTGAGTAGCTGTTAAGGTTACAATACGAGGTTCCTCGGCCTTCCCTTTGGTAGCCAATGGATACGGCCTCAGTCAGAGGCCGTCAGGTTTACTGGGAAGAGCCTTCCGGTTTTGAAAGACAGGATCTCCGGGTTTCCAGTTCTGTCACTCACTCGGGGTAACTTTGGGCAAATTCTCTCTGGACCTCCTAATAGGGAGGTCCTCGTCACCCCGAGGAAGTTCGAAGACGTGGGCAGTGACTTGGAAAGCTTCCCGAGATTCCCCTTCTATAACCTGGGTGGCTCAGACCGGGAGCGGGGTCCCAGCCGGCCGGTAATTCCGCCCGGAGGTGCGCACGAAACAAACCTGCAGCGCTGGCCGAGGGCGGCTCAGCTTCGGAGGGCGCGACTCCGGGTGAGTTCTTAAAGGGACCGTCAGAGTTTGGGTAACACCTGCGATGCTGACCGGGCGGGGACGCAGGCTTGAGGGAAATGAATGAATGAATGAATGAGCGAATGAATGAACAAACCTTCTCTGCCCACCCTTAAGTATACCATACTCGGAATTAATCAGTTAGGCTTAAAAATCTTGTACTATAACCCTCAAACTCTTGCCAAGTTAACCAGTGTCTCTATTTCATATGTCCTTCTGTAATGAAACCCCTCCCCCCAAGCCTATTACTAAGGGACGAAGAGTAACTTAACAATCAGCCTGGAGTGGAAGGCAATGCAGAGTTGGCACCCCTCCCCGAACTCCTCCCTCTCCCTCTCCCAGGCCCCGCCCTCCCCGCCCCCTGGGAGGTGCAGTTGGCTCCTCCTTAAGGCGGCTTTTCCCCGGTGGGGATCTACCCCCGGGGTCGCCAGGCGCTGTCTCTGCCGCGGAGTTGGAAACGGCACTGCTGAGTGAGGTTGAGGGGTGTCTCGGTATGTGCGCCTTGGATCTGGTGTAGGCGAGGTCACGCCTCTCTTCAGACAGCCCGAGCCTTCCCGGCCTGGCGCGTTTAGTTCGGAACTGCGGGACGCGCCGGTGGGCTAGGGCAAGGTAAAGGCGGGCTCCTCCAGGGCCACCCCGGGCCACCTGTGGAGTCCGAGTGTTAACTCCTTTGTTCTCAGAGCCACTTCAGCGGCCGCCCTTTTAAGCGAAGAGGTTCCCTTAGGATGCTCCCCGGGTACCCCTTCCGTTCCCCTGCCCTCCCCCGACCCGCCTCCCCCTTCCAACCCGAAGGTAGCAGCGCGGGGAGCCCGGGGCTCGGCGCGAGCCGCCTCCTCACTTCCCATTGGCTGAGAGCGCCGGGAAAGCGGTCACGTGGGAGCGCGGCAGGCCAGCTCGGGGGCCGCCATCTTGGCGGAAAGTTTCGGGGGAGAGCGGTTGGGGGCGCGGAAGGAGGCGAGGTTCCGGGGGTGGGGCGTGCGGCAGCAACTGGGCGAGCGGGCCGGGGGGCCGCGGCGAGCGAGGAGGCGGCGCGGCCGAGAAGGAGGACGAGGCCGCGGGGGTGCGGCGGCCCAGGGGAGCTCCTCCCCCGTCCCTTCGCCCCCTCCGCTCGGCTCCGCGGGCCCCGGGCGGGGCGGGGGTACGTGGAGCGGGGCCGGGCTGGGGAGCTGCTCCGAGTCTGGCCGGGGCGCACCCCAGTTCCGAGCGCACGCCGCTCACCGGAACTTTGTGGCGGCGCCGCAGGTGTGGGGGCCCGCGGAGGTGTGCATGCGGGGCGCGAGGGCGTCGCGGAGAGCGGCCGCTGCCCTGTCCGGCCCCCGCTGGAGCAGCCCGGAGGCAGCGAGCAAGGAGAAAGGCAAGCGAGAGGAGGGGGCCCGAGCAGGGCGGGCGGCCAGTCCCGCTGGTCCCCTCTCAGCGCTCTGCGGCCGCTGCTGGCTCAGGGGCCAAGGGTCGGAGCGCTTCACCCGCCCGTACCCAGTAGCAGGTGGGGAGTGTGGATACTTGTGCGGGGGAAGAGGCGGCCTCAGGTCTAGGCTCTTTGGGGAGGGGACGCTTTCGAGGAGAGTTTGGAAGCCGACTTCTGTCTGTTCTTAATTTGGAGGGGTACCCACTCCAAGGAAAAGCTTTCCACGTTGACAGACAACTGCTGCGTTTTGAGACTCTTTCTTTGACTTGGTAAAACTTTGGAACGTGGGGTTTTCAAATAGGCTGCGAGGGTTTTCTATTTCGATAGGGGAAAATGCTAGTTTAACATGATTCTATCCTTTTTCCTTTCCGTTGTGTGTTTTAAAGGTGTGTGCCCTCTTCCTGATTCTGGAGAAAAATGCCGGTCCGGAAGCAAGGTGAGAGTTTATTCCGTAACTCTGTTGTCGATGTCACTTGCTTTTCCGTGTGTCAGTTTTTTGATTGCCGTTTTAGAATCGTTTGTGTAACTTTGATGAGACAGCACGGTCCTAGCTTTATTGCTTAGGGAATCTAAGCCTCATATCATTTCAGAAGATGGAAACACGAAAATGTTTGTTAAACTTTCTTAACATTTCTCTAGTGATTAAGAGAGGCAGTTAGCCCCCCCCCAACAGATGTCCTTAATAACCCTGAATTGGTGTTTTAGTATTTCACTCTATCATTCTTACTAAGCACTATTCTGTAAGCAACTGTGGGATACTAAGAATTTGTATTTTGAAATGTTAAAAATTTGGATTATGATGACAAATTGTAGATAATCTGCTTTTGCATTATCAGGTAATCTGAAACTGTTGCTAATACTTTGATCTTTTACTTTGGCAAACTACCAGTACACATTTATTCCAAACTGCTCACTCTCCTCCGTTTTCTAATGTGATATATGTTTAAATTTTTCTTGTATTTCTTTAATTTTTTTTTTTATTTTTTGGTCATTCTAAGGAATATGTGTACATGAACATAGTGACATCAATTGACCTGAAGGATTTGCGGAACTATTTAGATGTCATGCAGAATTATTTGCACTAGTATGTGATACTTTTTTTGTAAATAGAGAGTTTTAATCAGGCTCTGCTTTTTCTTCTCAGATACCCAGAGAGCATTGCACCTTTTGGAGGAATATCGTTCAAAACTAAGCCAAACTGAAGACAGACAGCTCAGAAGTTCCATAGAACGGGTTATTAACATATTTCAGAGCAACCTCTTTCAGGCTTTAATAGGTGGGAATTAAAACTTCGTAACTATTATGCCAGCTAGGCTTTATGCTCCTCTCAATTCATTTATTTTAAACTTAAGAAAATGATGTACTTAATTCTCTGAGGCATTCGGTAACTTGAACATCTTCAGTGAGTTGTGTGTTTTTCATAGGCCAGTGTCCTTTCTTAAAATAACTAGTAACCAAAAAACTTTCAGGATTATTTCAGTGGCTTTTGAGAACATTGTTTCACATCTTAATAGCATTAACTATTAAAAGATGTTGCACAGATGTTTAAGGACCTAAAAGGTATGACTGAGTTACTGTGAGCTTGTTTCTGTATTTGACTGGCATGTCTCTGAAGTCATTGAAAGCGTGTGAAGGGTTCTGCTGTGTTGAAGAACATTCATTCCCTTAATGTAGATTTCTGTTTGAGCTTGGCATTCATGGAGTCAGAATTTTAGACCTGGAAAATAATCTTAGAGATGATCTTGTCTAGTAACCGTATTTTACAGGCAAGAAAATGGAAAGTTTTATTCTTAATTGTAACTTAATTTGAAGTGGTGCATTGTTTGAAAGAACTGGAAAAATAAGAGTCCTGAGTTCTTTTGCCACTAATTGAATGATATATCCCAAGTCATTTAATCTTTTCTATGCCACCATATTAGCTGTAGAATGTAGCTGTTGAAATGACAGAATGGGTTTAAAGCCTTTTTTAAGTAGATAAATCATTTTTAAAAGCATCATCTCATATTTTGTGTATAATCTCCTATGTATAAAACAAGGTGACTTGTCTGGCTCTTTTGTCCAGGTACCTCAAAAAGTTTGCAAACCACCGAACTAGAAAGTTTGTCTCTTCCAATTCTAAGAATGAAGTTTTTTTTTTTTGTTTTAGTTATCAACTATATAACATTTTAACATAAGAAGACATATACTTAATTATATTACATTTATTTCTTCAGTAACTTCCAGTCAGATATGGCCTTACATCTATCTGTTGATAGAATAATTGTTGGTGTGATTTGAAGACTACTTTCAAGTCAGTGTGTCCTGTCAGGTACATTATTGATAAATGGATGCTCTCTACGGTTTTAGAATGAAAGATTTTTGTAAAGACCACTTGATGCACCTGAACAATTTTGAAAAATGTAACATTTTAATAGACTTTTAAAAACATAAGGATACATAGCACAGTGTAATGAACTGCCTTTTAACTGTTACCCAGCTCCAGAAATTCACATTTTGCCATTTTTGTTTACATTGATGGACATTTTTTACACATTTGAATTTCTGAGGTTTAAGGTCCGAATGGATGATCAAATTGGATTCCTCTGGAAAAACAGCAAAAAGCATTTTTTAGTTATTTGTTTTCTAAATCAACATTGAGCCTAGTAATTTGGTGCAGTTACTGTTGCAAAAAAAGTATGTTTTTTCGCAACAGTATAGAGATATATATATACATATATGTATAGATAGGCAGATAGATAGACTGCAGACTTTTCTTTGTGTGATGGCTGTAACTTAAGAAAATTAAATCGTTAGTGAAATAACAGAATCTACATTTATATTTCTGTCTAGATTGGGGATGGGTTTGCTGTGTTCAGAGACATTTTTGACCTATTCTGCCTTGCCTGTTTTGAATGTGTCTATTCTTACGTACAATTGAACTTTGATAGAGTTAGCTTTCTTCTCTTTTTTTTTTTTTTTTTTTTTGAGGCAGAGTCTCACTCTGTCACCCAGGCTGGAGTGCAGTGGCGAGATCTCCGCTCACTGCAAGCTCCGCCTGCCAGGTTCACGCCATTCTCCTGCCTCAGCCTCCTGAGTAGCTGGGACCAAAGGTGCCCACCACCACGTCCGGCTAATTTTTTATTTTTTGTATTGTATTTTTAGTAAAGACGGGGTTTCACTGTGTAAGCCAGGATGGTCTCGATCTCCTGACCTCGTGATCCACCCACCTCGGCCTCCCAAAATGTTGGGATTACAGGCGTGAGCCACCGCGTCTGGCCTAGAGTTAGCTTCCTAATTACTAAGTTTATATTTGTGAATCTTCTAATTTCATTGGTTGTGAATTTACTTTGACATTTAAATTTACTTATATTTAATGTTCTATAGGATGTGGTACTATATCACATTTTGGTGTAAGACAAGTAATAGATTTTAGGAGTTTTGAAATAGATAACGTTTAATAGAGGTTCTGTGTGTTTCCATGCTATAATTGTTGATACTACGGAATAAATACATTCTCTTGTGTTTCCTGAATAACTTTTAATACTTAGTCTGAAAATGTTTAGTCTGATAAGATTTTCTTTGTATTTTGCAACTCTACCATTGTTTTGAAACAGTGTCATAAATGTACTTTAAGCTTGTAAACTGCCCTAAGCTAAACCAGTTCATTGTGTCCATAGTGTTTGCAGAAAAATCCGACTCAGAAGACAGAGTGCCACTTACTGAAAGGTTTTTTCTCTCAGTAAGTGGCACTCTGTCTTCTGAGTTGGTACCTGTGGACCACTGGATTAAAGGAGAACAGGGGTCTTGGCCACCTGAGCTGTTTGGAGTCATTGAGTGCTTAGATTTTTCACTTCCTTAATTTGGAAATCACTTGTTTAGGCCGCAGTGAGTTATCTAGTTATCTGTTTGGGGTGCCAAGTGTCTTTGGATTTTCAGTCTGCATTGATCATTTATTGATTGATTCTTTGAACTGGTAGTTTATATTGACTTTTCATGCATTTAAAAAAGTTTGAGTCTCTAGGGGTTTGGTGTCCCCCCCTGTAGTTGATACATAGATTAGGTTCCTGTACTTTTGGATTATTCAGAGGGACAAGCATGTACGTACTGTATTATATTTGTTCTAAAATACCAACTGTTAAATATTTCAATATCTGGTATATGTCATTTTTAATTGACAGTGTTTCTGTGTTCTGACACATGAAATAGTGCATTTTATAATTGATACTCGCAATGTAATATAGAAATCATTGGTCTAGTGCTGATAGATACTTGGTAGTATCTTTGAAGGATGGCTTAAAGATTTAAAAATTATTGAAAGCAGAAAAGTTTTTACTAATTTTGAATTTCAGCTGATGTATTGTTTCTTTAGAGCTAAATATTTAAAGTTGTATCTTAACAAAAGTCCATGAACTGCACATTTGTTTAAAATTTACTCCCAAAACATACCTGGTGATTATTTTTGTATAAAGGAAGATAAAGTCTGCTTAATTTCACTCTGTGATTTAGGTGAGAGCAATTTGAAAACTTGCTTTTGTATTCCAGTTTTTTGTGCTTAAGTTTGAAAATTTTTTGAGTAGACGGGATATGGTTTGATTATAATCAGAGCCCAGGTATTCAGGTCCATAGTGGTTTCAGTTCATTCATGATTCTAAGGTGTGTGGGATCTGAGATGACACTGCTAGTCCATAGAGACTTCATACCAGTCTAAACCCCTGCAGTTATTTCTTACGGGATCAGAGAACTCATCTGCTTTCCTTGTGCATGAGAAAAACTGGGGCCCAAGATTAGGCTGGCTTTAGAGACTTGAGTAAGTTGAGTCATGTGATTTGTATATTTTGTCTGCAATAAATAAGCTTATTCTAATGCAGTGTTTTATTTCTGCAGAGATTTCAGAATGAAAGTGGATTATGTAATAATACTGTCCATTTATGAGTTTAGTTACCAGTTCATTTGTTGCCACTCTATTAAAATCTAATAGTTTCACTAGCCCTTATAAAAGGACATTACCCTATCTTTATTTGTAGATACTAGTTTCAAAAGTATGACCCCTTTGCCATCTTCACCATCTTTAAATGTACAGTTCAGGAGTGTGAAATGTATTCATATTGTTGTGAAACAAATCTTCAGAACACTTTCGTCTTGCAAAACTGAAATCCTATACCGAATAAACAACTGCTCCCCTTTCCTCTCACTTCCCAGCCCCTTGTGACCAACGTGCTGCTTTCTGTTTCAGTGAATTTGATCATGTTAGAAACCTCATAGAAGTATTTGTCTTTTTGCGACTGGCTTATTTCACTCAGTGTAGAGTCCGCAAGGTTCATTCATGTTGTAGTTGTTGACAGGATTTTCTTCCTTTTTCAGGCTGAATAATATTCCGTTGTATGTATATACCGCATTTTATCTAGCCATCCATTGATGGACAGTTGGGTTGCTTCCTCCTCCTGGCTGTTGTGAATAATGCTGTTAGGAATGTGAGTGTGCAAATATTTCTTCAAGACCCTGCTTTCAGTTCTTTTGGATATTTACCCAGAAATAGGATTGTGGGATCATACGGCAGTTACATTTTTAATTTTTTGAGGGCCCACCATAATGTTTTCCATAGTGATTGCAGCATTTTACAGTCTCACCAGCAGCACACAGGATTTCCAGTTTCTCCACATCCTTGCCGATACTTAATTTTTTTCCTTTCTTTTTTTGATAATAGCCATCCTAATAAGTGTGAGTATATGACTCCTCTTCAAGTGTATGTAAAACATAATAACCAACATTTATTGAGCACTTTCTATGTGCTAATACAAATATATCATTTAGTCATTGTAATCCTGTGAGGTGTACATTCACCTGTATGAGGTGTTTGTACTGTTTTATAGACTGGAAAACTGAAGCACTGAGAAATGACCAATCTTGCCCTTGGACCCTCAGATGCTAAATTGCGGAGCCAGAAATTGAACTCAACTAATCTGAATCCATAGATACTTCTCACCGTCAACCATTGGGATATTCTTTATCGTTGTTTTTCAGAACTGAGTATTTTAATCTGATAAAGAATACTAAATGACAAGCATGCTTAAGACAGATAGCAATCTTTAGGGTTAGTAATCTTTAAATGATTGTCACTTTGAAGGAAAATATTTATAATGGTGCATTATGTTTATGATGATGGAAATCACACATTTTGAAAACAGTGTTTAGTAATCAGGGTTTGAGATCTTCCAGCTATAGTGGTAAAATGTCAAAATTTCTTAAATTTCTTTTGCATTATATTAGTCCCACTGATGTTACATTTTAGTCTCTTGCTAACTGTGTGTGTGTGTGTGTGTGTGTGTGTGTGTGTGTGTGTGTAACTTTGTAGGCTAGATTTGAGTAAGGAAAACAGGATATGGATCACATCGTTGGCTGAAACTTCCTGAAATGGAGAATTTTAGTAACTTCTCACTTGATGGTTTTGATTCAATTAGATTGAGTTCTTTGCTCATAGTTTGCTTACTACTGCTCTGAAGCAGTGTTTTGATTATGTTGAATCTGGCTGAATTCTCTTTAGAACCTTGGAATCAGAGTTGTAAAGGCATCTAAATATTTCTTCTAAGCCATTTCCTCTCTGCAGGGTCATATTTTTCCTCAGTGCAGAATCCAGACTTGGACCAGATATTACCGTTAGTTGTCACGTCTCTTTACTTAGGGCACATTTCCACAGCTTTTCTTTGTCTTGTGTGAGACTGACTTTTTTTTTTTTTTTTTTTTTTTTACTATTTGGAGACAGGGTCTTGCTCTGCCACCCAGGCTGGAGTGCAGTGGTGGCTTACTGCAACCTCTGCTTCCCAGGCTCAAGCAATCCTCCTGCCTCAGGCTCCTGAGTAGCTGGGACTACAGGTGTGAGCCCCCACGCCTGGCTAACTTTTTCTAGAGACAGGTGTTGCCCAGGCTGGTCTCGAACTCCTGAGCAAAGTTCTGGGATTACAGGTGTGAGCCACTGCGCCCAGCTGAGATTGATGATTTTGAAAAACGCAGTTCCTTCCACTCTTACTTTTTTTTAATATAATTTTCTCATTTTGGGTTTGTCTGATGTTTCCTTGTGATTAGATTCAGGTTTTGTATTCCTGGCTTAGGATTCTGTACATCCAGAGGTACACAGAGTCATCTGCTCTTTGTTGATGATACTGATTTTGATTACCTAGTTGGGTGTTGTCTGAATTCTGTATCCTATAGTCATTGTTTTTTACCCCTTGTGGCTTATAGGCAATATGTGGGGGAGACACTTTAACACCATGTACATATCCTACTCCTTAGCAAAATTTCCACCCATATTTAGCATCCATTGATGATTCTTGAACCGGTTTATAATATGGTTGTTGAAAAGTAAGATTTCTAACAGTAACACTCCTAGGTTTACCAGTTAACACTTTGCATTTTATTCTAAACAAGAGCCTTCCTTCTTTTTTTCCCGTGTCTTTCATGAACTTGCAGATACCTGTTTTTTTTTCAATGACTTATCATTTATTACCATCCTTAATGACATTTGTGCTCTGAGTGATCCAGTGGGGGCCCTTTCAAGCTTGTGTCCTTATGAGATGCCCTCATCATTTTTTGGAGCACTTTCTTAATTTTTGGCATAACAAGATGTTCCAGGTTTATCTTGTACCTCTCCTGCCCCAGCCCTGGAATCAGCCATTTCTCTGAGAAGCTCTGGTTCCTTTTAGTACACACCTTGTTTTATGGAATATGCTTGTGAGTCATGTATGATTCTTAGTCTAATAGTATCTAAAGTATTCAAGTGATTTATTTTTGCCTACTAGCTTGACATCTTTCCTTTCTTTAGTGTGTGAAACAATAGTACAAACTTTTAAATTTTATAGGATATTCTTTCTTCTAGGGGTCAAAAATGACTTTTTAAATGAACATTGGTTTAGAAGAAAGAGTATTTGTGCTTGAGTAGATTTGACTATTGTGGTATTATCTTAGTATGTCATCTGCCCTTCACTGATGATGTTAATTTTGATTACTCAATTGGGTATTGTCTGAATAATCATACTTGCTTTTAGTAAATGAACTGATAGAATTTTTTTCCTCTGAAATGGTAGGGTTATATTTCAGTGTTCTTCAGCTTTCTAGTTGCCTTTCCTGTAACCCTCCAAAATAAATTTATTATAAAAATGATGCATGTTCTATATAAAACATTTGAGATCAGATTATTATATGTAAAATACCATAAGAAAATATTCACACCAGAGGTTACCTCCTACTTCATCCATGGGATGAATATCCTGGAATGTTATTTGTGTGTGTGTGTGTGTGTGTGTGTGTATGCGCGTGTATACACGCCACCCCCCACCTTCATTTTGCAAAACAAACTTCTAAGTAAAACAGTTATTTCCCTTGTGAGAATTGATACTTAAAATCAGCATGTAAGGTGAAAAACCTCATCTAGTTAAAATTATCCCTGAAAAGCCTTCAGAAATTTAACACTAGCTCTTGTTAATTACAGCACAATTGTTTTTTTTCCTCTAGTGGAAAGGAATGATTTCTTCACTTGAGCCCTAGACGAAGCAACTGGCTTGTTTGACTTCTTGTACTAAAAACACGTAATTATAGAATCACACTCAGCACAGTGAGATATAGCAAGAAGCTCACATTTTGAGAGGCACATGAAAACTCAGACTACCTAAAGGAAGAATCTTCTTCCTTCTCATTTTTTTATTTGTGACAGTCACTTATTGGGTAGACAGAGTTGCCCTTTTTTGCAGGGGAGATATACTGCAGTTGTATTTGTATAAGTGTGAATAGTATGATTTCTCTGTACTATACATATTGTTTTTATCTTCTAAAGTTTATCGACAAATGTCTTTCCATGTCAGTAGATTTCTACCATTTTATGTATGTATGTATGTATGTATGTATGTATTTTTTTTTTTTTTTTTTTTTTTTTGAGACAGTTTCACTCTTGTTGCCCAGGCTGGAGTGCAATGGCTTGATCTCAGCTCACCACAACCTCCGCCTCCTAGGTTCAAGCGATTCTCCTGCCTCAGCCTCCTGAATAGCTGGGATTACAGGCATGTGCCACCACGCCTGGCTAATTTTGTATTTTTAATACAGACAGGGTTTCTTCATGTTGGTCAGGTTGGTCTCGAACTCCTGACCTCAGGTGATCCGCCCGCCTCAGCCTCTCGAAGTGCTGGGATTACATGCATGAACCACTGTGCCTGGCCAGATTCGTACCATTTTAAGTGACTGTGTATATAGATTTTTTTTTTCCTTTTCTTTTCTTTTTTTTTTTTTTTTTTTTGAGACGGAGTCTTGATCTGTCACCAGGCTGGAGTGTAGTGGTGCAATCTCGGCTCACTGCTACCTCTGCCTCCTGGGTTCAAGTGATTCTCCTGCCTCAGCCTCCTGAGTAGCTGGGATTACAGGCGTGCGCCACCACGCCTAGCTAGTTTTTGCATTTTTAGTAGAGACAGGGTTTCACCATGTTGGCCAGGATGGTCTCGATCTCTTGACCTCCTGATCTGCCTGCTTCAGGCTCCCAAAGTGCTGGGATTACAGGTGTGAGCCACTGCACCCGGCCTATATAGATTTTCTGTAGTTTTTTTAATGGTTTCCTAGGAGCATTTAGGTTTGTAATTTTTGTGAATTATAAATATTGTATTTGCATATGCATTTTTGTTTCAATTCTTTACTATATTCTTAGGACAAACTCCTAGAAATGAATTGTTTGGTCAAAGGGAGTGTGCATTTTAAGGCTATTGAGGTAATTTGTTAAATACTCTTAGGAATGTTGTATTTATTTTTTAGGAAGTATGTGGAAGAATGACCAATTCACCATACCTTAAGCAATACAGAGTGTTATCCATCTTTTAAATATTTTCTACTCTGATATATGGAATATACCTTTAGTCATTTTTCTGTTTTATTGTGCATTTTGTTGATTAAAGAAATATCCAAAGCTGTAAGAAAGTCTTTAATTATTTTAATTTCTTTTGTAAATTATCTGTTTAATTTGTGCCCCTTCCTCCTCCTTTTTCCTTTTTCTTAGAGGTATAAAATCTACATTAGGCCTGTCAACTCTGCCGTGTAAATTGCAAATAACTTCCCGTGTTACTTGCTTTTAAACTTGGCTTTTAAAGAAAACATATATATATATGGTTGGGTTTATCAATATTTTTCTTTATCAATATACTGCTTTCTGCCCTTAATACGTTTGGAAACATTCCCAATGCTCTAAGCCCCAACATTATTATAATCTATTGCCAAGATTGTAAAAACCTGTATTCAAATTCTTTCAAGACTTTAACATTTTAATGCATTTGAAAATTATCTTGATATAAAGTATGAGATTGCCTTTTAATATAAGTTTATTTATCTCTCATGCAGTTTAAGAAATTAATAGATTTTTTTCAGCAGTTTTGAATTTACAGAAGAATTGAGTGGAAAGTACAGTTCCCATATCCCAAAGCCCCACTTCCCTTTTCCATCTTGTAGGCCATGTGTGGTGGCTCAACGCATGTAATCCCAACATTTTGGGAGGCCAGGGTGGGAGGATCCTTGAGCCCAGGAGTTTGAGACCAGCCTGGGCAACATAGTAAGACCCTGTCTTAGGAAAAAAAAAAATTTAACCAGGCATGGTGGCATGCACCTGTCGTCCCAGCTGCTTGGGAGCCTGAGGTAGGAGGATTTGTTGAGCCCAGGAGGTGAAGGCGCTACTGTACTGCAGCTTGAGTGACAGAGTGAGACTCTGTCTCTTTAAAAAAAAAAAAGGCCTGAGCTCAGGTGGCTCTTGTATATAATCCCAGCACTTGAGGAGGCCAAGGTGGTGGAATTGCTGGAGCCAGGGAGATAACAGCTGCAATGAGCATGATCATACCATTGCACTCCAGCCTGAGTGACCCTGTCTCAAAAACAAACCTTGCATTAGTGTGGTATATTTGTTAAAATTGATAAGCCAATATTAATATATTGTCATTAGCTAAAGCCCATACTTTACATTAGTAGTCACTCTTTGCATTGTACATTGACAAATCTGATGTGCACATTTTTTGCTTTGACACGTATCCACTATTGCCGTATTGTACAGCAGGGGTCCCCAACTCCCGTGCCACAGACCTGTACCTGAGCGGCAGGCGAGCGATTGCCACCTGAGCTCTGCCTCCCGTCAGGTCAGTAGCGGCGTTACATTCTCACAGGAGCATGAACCCTGTCGTGAACTGCGCGTGCAAGGGATCTAGATTGTGCACTCCTTATGAGAGAATCTAATGCCTGATGATCTGAGGTGGAACAGTTTCACTGCAGAAGCTCCCCCACCCTCTTTTCTGTGGAAAAATTGTCTTCCATAAAACCGGTCTTTGGTGCCAAAAAGGTTGGAGACCGCTGTTGTTTTTCACCACCCTAAAAATCCTGTGTGCTCTTCTTCTTCTCCGGTACCCCACTTCTACACCCCCCACACAAACTCCTGAAAACCACTGATCTTTTTACTGTCTCCATAGTTTTGCCTTTTCCAGAATGTCATAATTGGAATCATAAGTATGTAACCTTTTTAGATTGGCTTTTTTCAGTTAGTAATATATTTACGGTTCCTCCATGCCTTTTCATACCTAATAGCTCGTATCTTTTTATGACTGAATAATATTCCATTGTGTGGACATACTACAGTTTATCTACTCACCTGTTAAAGAACATATTGGTTGCTTCAAAGTTTTATCAGTTAGTATAAAGCTACTGTGAGCGTTTGTGTGCAGGGTCTTGAGTTGACTTAAGTTTTCAGCTTGTTTGGGTGAATACCAAGGAGCGCAATTGCTGGAGCATATATAGTATGAGTATGTATAGTTTTTAAGAAATGCCAAAAGTGCCTTCCAAAGTGGTTGTACCATTTTGCATTCCTGTCAGCAATGTGTTGCCCTGTGTCCTCACCAGCATTTGGTAGTGTTGGTGCTTTGGATTTTAGCCATTTTAATAGGTGTGTAGTAGTATCTTGTTTTAATTTGAAATTCCCTGGTGATATTTGATATATGCTCACTTGCCATCTCTGTCTTTGGTGAAGTGTCTGTCTGTATCTTTTGCCTATTTTTTTATTGGATTGTCTTCTTATTGTTGAGTCTTAAAGAATTTTTTGTCCACTTGAATATTAGTCCTTTATTGGGTATGTGTTTTGCCAGTATTTTCTCCCTGTCTGTGGCTTATCTTTTCATTCTCTTTTCCCCATCAAATAAAATTATTATCTTCTCATAGATTAGAAATGTCACCGGTATTATGTTAAATTATTACATACTCTTGGGCCTGTATTTAGATTTTCTCCCCTGACCCTAAGTTAGTATTGCCTTATTTCTTTAGTTTGAGAAATGTTTCTTGGCTTGTGGGTTTCTCTGTTTAAGATTATGTAAGTTGTCACCAAAAGCTAGAATGTTTCTTTGCCTATTTGAAAGTTCCCTTTCTCCCATTCCTCACCCCCTTTGAGAGTATTTCTGGGATTCTGCACTTTCCCTTTACTCCCATTGTTTGCAAACTTTGAATTCTAGCAAGAAAATAACAAAGGTAATGAAAAATTTTTATGTAAAAGAAAATTATATATTTGAAGGCTTCTGAAATGTGTGATCTTGGAGATTTCCAGTTTTTTTTTTTTTTTTTTTAATAGATAAGAATGATTCTGGCCTCTTCTGTTGGACCTAACTGCTTTTCTTCAAGTTTGATTTTTGGAGGTTTCTTAGTGTACATGTTAGAGCTTTGTGTGGTCTTGTTTAGATCTGCGTTCAGGAATCGGACTTGTGGAAACCCAGTTTAGGCCAAAACAGGGAAAGCACTTGCAGATTATGAATGGAAAATGAGGAATAGACTGTGATAAGATTGACCGAGTAGGTTTCAACAAAATTAATGTTTTCAGTTGTGAGTCAACCAAAATCTAATTTTTTCCTAATACATATTTTAGTATTTCTGCATTTTCTTGTTTTCTCTTCTTGCTTGCTGTAGTGTATCATTATTTTCAAAGAAAATAATTTTTCGCAGGGTAGTAAATAAAAATGTAATAGGTGATTTCAATTCTTTGGTATTTGGTAAGCTTTCTGGATCTTCAGATGAATATAGAATCACTTGTAGCTATTGGCAGTCTCTTGACTACCCCTCTGTGCTCCCATTTTCTTTACATTTTCATGGTGAAGATTTAAGTTTAGAGTTGTACTCAAGTTAAATTTTTGCATAGGTTTATTGAAAGACTATCATTTTATACTAGGTAGTAAATTTGGCAATTCCTGATAAAATAGTATTGAGAGAGATGACTTTTGAAGCATTATTTTGCTATAGTTGGATTTTGTTTTACATAGTGTGATGTGTGTGTGTTTGCGTGTATGCATAGCACATATGTGTGTGTGCGTATGTGTGTATATAATATTCTTAACACCCTGTGAGGTAGGTTAATATTATCCTCACTGTACAAGTGTTAGTTTTTACCAGCCCTTTACTTGGAAAGTTTTGCAATTCCACTGGTTATTAAAACTGAAAGGGGGCTGGGTGCACTGGCTCACACCTGTAATCCCAGCACTTTGGGAGCCTGAAGCGGGCAGATCACCTGAGGTCAGGAGTTCGAGACCTGCCTGGCCAACATGGTGAAACCCTGTCTCTACTAAAAGTACAAAAATTAGCCAGGCATGGTGGCACGTGCCTGAAGTCCCAGCTACTCGGAGGCTGAGTCAGGAGAATCGCATGAACCCAGGAGGTGGAGGTTGCCGTGAGCCAAGATCATACCACTGCACTCCAGCCTGGGCGACAGAGCGAGACTCTGTCTCAAAAAAAAAAAAAAAAAAAACAACCCAACTGAAAAGGGAGTTAAGTTTGTCTCTATTTTGTGAAGTTTGTTTTTAAAAGGACTAATGCTTTTAAAATAATGAGAAGCAAGAAGTCTAAGTTATTCTGTCTAAATGTTGCTTACAGTTATGAATTATTCTATACAGGGTAATGCCCACTTTTACTATTCCCTTATCCAAAATTATACAAGTTGGTGAATAAGGAATTAAGCGTGGTGAATCTAAGCGTTATATAACTGCTACTTACAGCTTCGGAATAGCGGGAATAATTAGTGTTAATAAGTTTTTATAATTCTAGCTGATTGCAAAGTCATTTGATCTTTTAAATTATCCTGTGCTATTATAAATAAATTTATCATTTATTTTAGAGTTTTGTCATGACTTTAACTGATTGTTTCTAAAGTAGTATAAAATATTTAATTTACTATTATAAAATATTCAGACTAGAGGATATCCGAAAGCCCTTCTAGTTCTTTGATTTTAATTTCCTCTTTTTTTTTGGCTTTGGCTTTGGCTAGAAGGGCAATTAAAACCACTTGAGGGATTTACATTCCCAGCTTAGATATTGGTGGTGAACGGTAATAACTCCTATCTGTAGAATTCACAGTAATGATATTAGCTACCATCTGTTAGGAGCCTATTCTGTGCTATAGTGCTAGGCATCTTATATGTATTATACTTGAGCCTTGAAACAATTCACAGTGCTAAGAGGCAAGTTACCAGAGGTTAAGTAGTTTGCCTGAACTTGTAGCTAGTTGGTGATGGAGTTGGGATTTGAATCAAGTGCTGACTTTGAAGTGTAAAAAGCCTATGAATTTTACACTGTGCCCTGCAGGTTCTGATATGATTGTGATATAATGAAATAAGATAATATTCACTGTTTAAGTACATTATACGATGGGAATTGATTTACTAATCTAGAGTAAAAATTGTGCTTTTGAGTTATGTTGTTATAGCATTGCATAATTTAGTTAGAAAATATAAATACTTATGAATTTTTATTTTCCTTCTTCTAGATATTCAAGAATTTTATGAAGTGACCTTACTGGATAATCCAAAATGTATAGATCGTTCAAAGCCGTCTGAACCAATTCAACCTGTGAATACTTGGGAGATTTCCAGCCTTCCAAGCTCTACTGTGACTTCAGAGACACTGCCAAGCAGCCTTAGCCCTAGTGTAGAGGTGAGATAAAAAATGTGTTCTGAAGCTGTTTTTTGGTGATCAATTTATTTATGTTACTATGTTTCTTTATTTTATTAAAATAATATTTTATACAAGTGGATTTTGTTATGGAAGTATAATTTATAATAGAATAAAGAGAATGGGGTTAAAAATATTTTTGAAAAGCAAAGCTCAGATTCTCTGTTGCCCCTGTTTTAAAATGTTATGAATGTTTGAAGTCTGAAATACTTGATTTAGACTATTAAAAAATTCTTTGCATGATAGACCTCAACAAGGCTTCATCTGTGTGGTAATTAAAATGGAAATGGTACTTTGAAAAGATGGTTTTGCTCTGGTATTCTTTCCTAGAAATAGGATATAGTTTTGTGGTCTGGGCTGCTAAGTTGTACCCATTTACCTCAAGGAATCTCTTCTTTATTGGCTTGAAGGATGGCATTCAAACTCACTAGAGACTGAAGAGTAAACCTGAACATCAGCACTGGTTTCTACATTTTCTGTAAAGTTATTTCTTTGAGTATTCATAACTATCTTAGTAATATACTTTTTTGTGTGTGTTATACTGTTGCCCAGTTGGATATGGTATAGCAGAGGTATGAAGCAGTTTGTAACAAAGATTCTGCCTAAGAAGCATTAGTCATTTGAAAGTGGTTATTTGTCTGAATTTGAATCTAGTCCTTTCTAGTTAGTGTAAGATGGTGCTGTGCCTGGAAAATGCGATGTTTCTGTTTGGTGAATAATAAATCAGGGAAAAGTGGTGGTAGGCCTCAACCAGATAGCACTTTGGTAAAGAAGTTAGATGGCTTCTCAGTTTTAAGTAACAGAACTATAGAATTTTAGAGCAGGAAGAATCGGAGCACATCTGATCCCTTGTCTTCATGTTAAAGATGAGGAAACTGAGATCCATAATAGAATAACTTGACCCACTTTATTTAGCTAGTTTGGGCAATTATACCTTTGAATTTCAGGACTCTTAACACCCAACTCACAGTTCTCTTTATTAATCCTAGACCTTGTATGTTTCTTTTTGATTAGTGTAATGTTTATTGTGTATATCCTTATTTTCTTTACACTTTTTTTCCATCACTTTTTCCAGGATAATTTCCATTTCCATACTCTTTGGGTTAATACATCACTTGCTTTTATAATAGTCTGAGGTCTATTTCAAATGGATTTTTAAAATGTCTTCAGTCAGTCACTGCTGTGGTTTGAATGTGTCCCCTCCAAAATTCAGGTGTTGCCAATGTGAAGATAATGAGAGGTGGGACCTTTAGGAGGTGATTAGGCCATGAGGACTCCTCCATCCTTCATGGGATTAAGGCCCTTATAAAAGAGCCTCCACAGCTTGGGCACGGTGGCTCATGTTTATAATCCCAGCACTTTGGGAGGCCAAGGCGGGTGGATTGCTTGAGGTCAGGAGTTTGAGACCAGCCTGGCCAACATGGTGAAACCACGTCTCACGTCTAAAATACAAAAATTAGCTGAGCATGGTGTCATGCACCTGTAATCCCAGCTACCAGGGAGGCTGAGGCAGGAGAATTGCTTGAACCTGGGAGGCGGAGGTTGCAGCGAGCTGAGACGGCATCACTGCACTCCAGTCTGGGCAACAAGCGAGACTGGCGATAAGCGAGACTCCGTCTCAAAAAAAAAAAAAAAAAAGAGCCTCCACAAAAAGTTTAGCATGTTAGCTTAACTTTTTGCTTTCTGCCATGTTGAGATGTAACAAGAAGGCCCTTACCAGATCAGATACCTGGATCTTGGACTTCCCAGCCTCCAGAATTGTGAGAAATTATTTTCTGTTTTTCATAAATTACCCAGTCTCAGGTATGCAGCTGTAGCAACACAGAAGGGACTAAGACAGTTATTTCACATTTATTGTCTTAGTTCTAGGTTAGAAAATTGCTTATGTAAAAAACATGTTAAACTTTAAGAGAATTGAATTGCTTACTAGTATTTTTTATTGTCCGATTTATGATACCCTTGATTATAAAGCCTCGAATTCTTATACTCGATTTACTTATTTTTATAGGCGATTGTTTAAGTAATGTAACCATTGAAAGTGAATATTTGACATTATTGGTGGAAATGTAAATTATTACAGCCATTATGGAAAACAGTATGCAGGTTTCTCAAAAAAACTAAAAATAGAACTGCCCACCAGCAATCCCATTAGTGGGTATCTGTCCAAGAGAAAGGATATCAGAATATCAAAGGGATACCTGCACCCCCATGTTTATTGCAGCACTATTCACAGTGGCCAAGATATCAAATCAATCTAAATATCTATCAACAGGTGAATGGATAAAGTGTGATACACACACACACACACACACACACACACACAAAATGGACTACTATTCAGCCATAAAAAGAATGAAATCCTGTCATTTGCAGCAACATGGATGGAACTGGAGGTCATTATGTGAAATTAAGCCAGGCACAGAAAGATAAATATCACATGTTCTCATGTGGGAGCTAAAAATGTTGATCTCATGGAGGTAAAGAGTAGAATGATAGTTACCAGAGACTGGGAAGGGTGGGAGAGGGAAAAGATGAAGAGAGGATGGTTAATGAGTTCAAAAATAGTTAGAAGGAATACATTCTACTGTTCAGTAGCACAGTAGGGTGACTACCGTTAACAACAATTTATTGTCTATTTCAGAATGGTTTAGAAGATTTGAAATGTTCCCAACACAAATAAATGATAAATGTTTGAGGTGATGGATATTCTAAATACCCTGATTTGACCATTACACATTGTATGCACGTACCAAATATCGCATGTACCCTATAAATACATACCATTATATATCAATAATAATATTTTTAACTGTAAGTATTCTTTAAGATTGGAAAAGTGGACAGTTTTGTAAGCTGAAAGTTTTTTTCCATATAGATTTCATTCAGGAAGATCAGTAGTGCATTGAATTTCATCAAAAATGGCATTGGTAACACTTCAATTTTTATAAAATGATGAGGCACTCATATCTAGAACGCTATTTGCAGCTCTGGTTTCTACACCTCCTGAAAGATATATTATGAACATGGTAAAGGCACCTCAAGGGAATAGGAGAAAAAGAACTTTCATATTGTGAGCGTCAGATCTTATTAGTTTGGAAAGTAGATGAGAAGAGAATATGGTCACAGAGTGTTGTTTAGCGCATGGCACATGGAAAATGCTGTAGTAATGTTTGAAATCTGTTCATATTCATGAATAGACTCTAAGGGGAACATTGGGATATGTCCATCAAGGCCTAGATGTTTAAAAAGTAGCAAAAACCTGTATATATCAAACTGGAGTGAGCAAAGTCAGTTAGTAGGAAGTACCATCTTATAGAGATGACAGAAAATCCTGACAAATGTTTGTCTGAAAATGTAAATAGTTTTGAAACACACTGATGGATGATATTTATAATGATTTTTTAAAAAACCTGGAATGTTTGGGGATTTAATTGCTACTTTTTGAAGGTGCTATGAGAGAAAGTAAGCATGTTCCCTTTCACCCATCCATTCATGCTTCATTTGGAAAACTTGGCTAAGTGATCATTTGATCTCTTGTTTCATTTGCTACTTTAGACTCTTGGGGCATGATGTTTAGGACTAAAAAGGGACTTAGAGAATCCACTTGCTCAAAACAAATAACTTAAAACTTAAAGTTTATTGTACTATAACTTGAAAAATTTGAAAATCAAAACCATTTTGTCTTAAACAGAATTTAGGTTATACTTGTGTACTAATTCTTGGATATAGTAATCTTTTCCAACAAAATTGCATGCAACATGCCTCTTTGACTTCATGTTTGCTTTTGCAGGACTAAAAAGAGGATTATTTTTGCTAAAAGTAGTTAAGATTGCTCAATTTTCACAAAGCCTTGACTGTTATTCTCTTAAAATGCAAATCTTCATCTTTAAAGCAGCTATCCAGTTTTGTCTTTTTTTTTTTTAAGTTCACTGATCTAATTCTTGCCAGGTCATTTGTCAGTTACTTTGTGACCTTATAACTTTGTTTGTTCTATTTCTTCTGATGTAGTAAATTTAAAGGGACAGGATTAGTATCCCATTTTCTTAAAAAAATTTTTTTTGTATATATTATCTTTTACTTTGAGCATATGTCTAGTGAGATGTTTGGAATAATGTTTGTTTAGTGTTTAATGATTGTTTCAGAGTGATAGGGATTTTTTTCTTTTTTGTACTACTTTTTTTGTTTTTTTAGAAACTGTGTCTCACTCTGTCACCCAGGCTGAAGTGCAGTGGTGCGATCATAGCTCACTGTATCCTCAAAACTTGGGGGCTCCAGGGATCATCCTGCCTCAGCCTACTGAGTAGCTGGGCCTACATGTGTGCACCACCACACCCAGCTAAAATCATTTCTTTTTTTTTTTTTTTTTTTTTTTTTTTTTGGGACAGAGTCTTGCTCTCCCACCGAGGCTAGAGTGCAATGGTACGATCTCGTCTCACTGCAACCTCCACCTCCCAGGTTCAGGTGATTCTTCCACCTCAGCCTCCCGAGTAGCTGGGATTACAGCACCCACCATCATACACGGCTAATTTTTGTATTTTTGTAGAGATGGGGTTTCACCATGTTGGCCAGGCTGGTCTCAAACTCTTGACCTCAGGTGATCCACCTGCCTTGGCCTCCCAAAGTGCTGGGATTACAGGCTTCAGCCACCATGCCCGACCCCAAAACCATTTCTTTAAACAGTTTTTTGAAGACTGGGTCTCACTATGTTGCCTAGGCTAGTCTCAGACTCCTGGTGGTGGTCTCCAGCAGTCCTCCCACCTCAGCCTCCAGAGTAGCTGGGATTACAGGTGTAAGGTACCACACCCGGCTCTCTCTCTTAATTTTAAAAAATAACACATCATTTTTATAAGAACAACTCTATTCTAAAATAAGAGTGAGTTAGTTTTAGAGATTATAAGAAAGGATATAGACTTAAAAAAAAGCAAGAGTAAAGAGTAGGAGGAATTGCCTGATTTAATGGGATATTTCAGTAGAAAAGGGTTGATTTATAAGGAAGGATAGATGACTCTTAAAAAGATGAGGCCAGGCCTGGTGGTTCACACCTGTAATCCTAGCACTTTTGGAGGCCCAGGCAGGTGAATCACCTGAGGTCAGGAGTTCAAGACCAGCCTGAGCAACATGGCAAAACCCCGCCTCTACTAAAAATACAAAAATTAGCCAGGTGTGGTGGTGCGTGCCTGTGGTTCCAGCTGCTTGGGAGGCAGAGACGTGAGAATCGCATGAACCTAGGAAGCGGAGGTTGCCAAAGAACCCAGGAAGGCAAGATCGTACCACTGCACTCCAGCCTGGGTGACAGGGTGAGACTCCCTCTGGAAAAAAAGGCAAGATGAAAGAGTAGGAGGAATTTCCTGATTTAATGGGACATTTCAGTAGAAAAGGATGCACCCTACTCCTAACATCACAATACATTTCAACTAGACTAGAGATTCAAAGGTTAAAAAAAAAAAAACCATAAAAGTAAGATTTTGGGGCTGGGCGCAGTGGCTCATGCCTGTAATTCCAGCACTTTGGGAGGCCAAGCTGGGCAGATCGCTTAAGCTCAGAAGTTCGAAACCAGCCTGGGAAACATGGTGAAACTCCATCTCTACAAAAAATGCAAAAATTAGCTGGGTGTAGTGGCTCCCTCCTGTGGTCCCAGCTACTCAGGAGGCTGAGGTGGGAAGATCGCTTGAGTCCTGGAGGTCAAGGCTGGAGTGAGCCAAGATCGTACCACCGCACTCCAGCCTGGGCGACAGAGCGAGACCCTGTCTCCAAACAAGAAAAAAAAAGTTAAAAATTAAAAAAAATAAAAATTTTGATTTTTAATAAGGAAGGCTTTTCTAACCATGACCAAAAAACACCACAAAAATTAAAAGGTTAAAAATGCTGCTGACTTTATAGAATTTCTTTGTGGACTTTGACTTCAAATTTTGATTGTAGAACTTCTGAATCTTGAAAGATATAATACAAAGATAAATTATATATTAGGATGAAAATTTGTCACATATATGAAAAAGGATTAATTTTAATTTCCAGTCCTTTCAACTTAAGAAACTTCTTATAGAAACTAAGAAAAAGGCCCGTGTTCAATAGGAAACTGACTTAACAGTGTGAGTATTGTAGTTTGAAGAAGAAGAAATAAATGTGGGCCAATAAGCCTATGAAGAAATGCTCAGCCACACTTAAAAATGCAAATTACATTGACAGCAAGGATATTTTTAACAAATTTGATTGTCAGAGATTAAATAAATAGGAGGAAACAGAAGCTCCTGTACAGTTAGTAAGGGAGAATACAGTAGTGCAACTAATTTGAAAGACAACTTTATATTCGTATCGTTTGATCCAGCATATGCTCCAGATTCACCACAGATTATTGAAGGTATTTGTACAGGGATGCTCACTGCAGCCTTAATTAGTAGAAACCAACAAGGGATATAAAAGATTATCGGTAAGAGATCGGATAAACACATTATGGTAGAGCCATTTAATGCAAGATAAAGTAGCAGGCAAAATATATTCTGTGTATCCATTATGTGTTATTAAATGAGTGAAAGCAGGTTACATGTCAGGAGGCATAGTATGACTGTGTGTGAAAAGAAAACCATGAGGTTAGGCATGTCTGGAAGAATATACACATAGTCTGCTTTCAATAGTACTCTTTTAAAATTGATAAATAATTATACATATTTATATGGTGCTTGTGGTATTTTGATACATGCATACCATGTTTAATGATCAAATCAGGGTAATTGGGATATCCATCATCTCAAGCATTTATCATTTCTTTGTGTTGAGAATATTCCAGATTTTCTCTTCTAGCTATTTTGAAATATACAATAAATTGTTGTTACCTATAGTCACCTACTGTGCTATTGAACACTTCTAATTGTATTTTTGTACCCATTAACCAACTTGTCTTCCTCCCCTCCTTCACTGTACCCTTCTCAGCCTCTGATAAACTACCATTCTACTCTCCAACTCCATGGGATCAGCTTTTTAGCTTCCACATATGAGTGACAACATGTGATATTTGCCTTTCTTTGTCTGGCTTATTTCTCATAAGATATCCTTCAGGCTCATCCATGATGCTGCAGATGACAGGACTTCATGCTGTGTTATGGCTAAATAATATTCTATTGTCTATATATGCTACATTTTATTTATCTATTCGTCTGTTGAGGGACACTTAGGCTAATTCCCTATCGTGGCAGTGGTGAATAGTGGTGCGATAAACATGGGCATGTAGATCTCTCTTTGATATACTGGTTTGTTTTCTTTTGGGTGTATACCTCGCAGTGAGAGTGCTGGATTAAATGGTGGTTGAGAAATGACCATGCTGTTTTCCGTAATAGCTGTACTAATTTATATTCCCATCAGCAGTGTACCAGAGTGTCCCTTTCTTTACATCCGTAGCCAGAATCTGTTATTTATGGTCTTTTTGATAATAGCCATATTAAGTGGGGTAAGAGAATATCTTTTTTCTTTTTTTTTTTTTTGAGACAGAGTCTTGCTCTGTCGCCCAGGCTGGGGTGCAGTGGCGTGATCTTTGCTCACTGCAAGCTCCACCTCCCAGGTCCAAGCAATTCTTCTGCCTCAGCCACCTGAGTAGCTGGGACTACAAGTGTGCTCTGCCATGCCCGGCTAATTTTTTAAATATTTTTAGTAGACACAGGGTTTCACTATGCTGGCTGAGCTGGTCTTGAAGTCCTGACCTCGTGATCTGCCTGCCTCGGCCTCCCATGTGCTGGGATTACAGGCGTGAGCCACCGTGCCCAGCTTATTATGGTTTTGATTTCCATTTCCCTGAGTATTATTAGTAATGTTGAACATTTTTTCATATACCAATTAACCATTTGTATGTCTTCTGAGAAATGTCTAATCTGATCATTTGTGCATTTCAAAATCAGATACTTGCTTTTTTGTTGCTCCTTATATATTCTGGTTATTAATACTTGTCAGATAAATTGCAGATATTTTCTCCCATTCTGTAAGTTGTTTCATCACTCTGTTGGTCGTTTCCTTTGCTGTACAGGATCTTTTTAGCTCGATGTTATCTCATTTACCTATTTTTGCTTTTGTTGCCTGTGCTTTTGAAGCATTACCTAAAAAATACTTGCCCTGACCAACATCCTGAAGCATTTCCCCAATGTTTTCGTATCGTATCGTGTCGTGTCGTGTCGTGTCGTATTGTATCTTTTCAGGTCTTAGATTTAAGTCTTTAATCTATTTTGATTTGTTTTTTGTTACGTTTTCATATTGTGAGTAATGGGAGTCTAGATTCATTCTACATATGGATATCCAGATTTTCCCAGCACCATTTATCGAAGAGACTGTCCTTTTCCCATTGTGTGTTTTTGGCTTCTTTTTCAAAAATGAGTTGGCTTAAATGTGTGGATTTATTTCTGTGTTCTCTGTTGTGTTCCGTTGGTCTGTGTGTGTTTTTACATCAGTACCATGCTCACTTGGTGACTGTAGCTTTGTAGTAGGTCAGGTAATGTGATGCCTCCAGTTTTATTATTTCTGCTCAGGATTGTTCTGGGTATTCGGAGTGTTTTATGATTGTATATGAATTTTAGGCTTGTTTTTTCTATTTCTATGAAGAATGTCACTGGTATTTTATTAGGGATTGCATTGAATCTGTATATTGCTTTGGTTAGTATGGACATTTTAACAATATTAGTTTTTCCAATCTATGAACATGGGATATCTTTCCATTTTTTTTGTGTCCTCTTCACTTTGTCTTAGCAGTGTTCTAGAGTTTTCATTGTTGAGATCTTTTACTACTTTGGTTAAATTTATTCCTAGGTTTGTTTTGGTTTTTTTTTTTTTTTTGGTAGCTATTATAAATGTGATTGTATTCCTGATTTCTTTTTTGGATTGTTTGGTGTTGGTCTATAGAAATACTACTGATTTTTTTATGTTAATTTTTGCATACAGCTTTTTAAAAGTTGTGCCTGTTATTTACAAGTCCCCCCTTTCAGCCCTTCAGTGTTTATCTTATTGGGAGGGGAGTTTTCTGACTGAATGGTGTTAAGGGATACTTTTCCCTTTCTCTTTGACCTTGTGGTTTAATATTTTAAAATAAGCCATCTGCTTTAATTTGAGTGGAGTTTTAGGAGGCAGTAGAGTTAAAAGTATATATTCAGCCGGGTGCGGTGGCTCACGCCTGTAATCCCAGCACTTTGGGAGGCAGAGGCGGGCAGATCACTTGAGGTCAGGAGTTCGAAACCAGCCTGGCCAACATGGTGAAACCCCATCTCTGCTAAAAATACAAAAATTAGCCGGTTGTTGTGGCGGGCACCTGTAATCCCAGCTACTTGGGAGGCTGAGGCAGGAGGCCTGGGAAGCAGAGGTTGCAGTGAGCCGAGATCACATCACTGTCTTCCAGCCTGGCTGGCAGAGCAAGACACTGTCTCAAAAAAAAATAAAAATAAAAATAAAGAAAAAAATATATATATATACACACACATACACACACACACACACACACACATATATTCAGTGTACCAGGTTTAATCTGAAGTCCTCTAAACATTGACAAAAAATTTACTGAAATACTGTATAATATTCTTACATAAAGATACACAAATAATAAAGGAATAGGTTGATTAATTACTGCATTGTGAATATACCAGGTCAAGAAAAAGAACATGGAATGACTGCTAACAGGTTCTGGAATTAGATAGTGATGGTAGTTGTACAAGTCTATGAAAATATCAAAAATCACTGAATTGTACACTTTAAAATTTGGTGAATTTTATAGCATGTCCATTTTATCTCAGTTTAAAAAAGAAAAATACCAGTACCCCAGAAGTCTTCCTTGTACTCTCCCTATTTACTACCTATCCCCTCTTCCTCAGAGGACCATCCAAATTTCCAACATCATAGATTAGTTTTGCGTTCTTTTAAATTGCATATAAAGAGACTTACACAGTGTATATACCCCCTTGTGTGCTTCTTTTTTCTTATATTTGTGCATTTCATCTATGTAGGTAAAGTTTTTTCATCCTTACTGTTGTATGATATTCCATTGTATGATATACCAGAATATATTTACACATTCTGCCATTGATGGTCATGTGGATTGTTTCCAGTTTTGATTAGTGTTGCATTGAACATTCTTTTACATTCAGGTCTGCTGTAACAACAGATAACTTTCCTAAAAATCACCACACTATGAAAAATGGCACAATGAAAACCACAGGTGTTATTTCAAAAATGAGGGCAGGGACCAAACACTTAAAACTTTGTGAGTGACATATTAAAAGAGATTAAAACCTAATAAAAACAACAGCACAGTTTTATGCTTTTTTTTTTCTTTTTTTTTTCCTTAGAGGAGGTCTTGCTTTGTTCTTCAGGCTAGTGTGAGGTGGTGTGATCATAGCTGACTGCACCCTTGAACTAACGGGCTCAAGCTATCCTCTGCCTCAGCCTCCCAAGTAGCTGAGTTTATAGGCGTGAGCCACTGTGCCCAGTTTATGCATGTTAAGTGGTGAATAAATATGTGAATACTACAATCAATTTGGCATCTTACCTTGGAAAAAAACTCAGCTTTGCTTATAGGAGTGTGTTGCAAAGAGTTGCAGCTTGTGAGTTACTGTGATGTGTTAGCTGGGGGAGCTATCTGAAATTGGATGAGAACTTATAGTAGCACCAGTTGTAGAGGAGTGTGGATCATAAAACTCCCATAAACTAAAGTCGCTGGTAGATGTCTGAGGTGTGTGCATTTTGTGTATTCTTAGGTGGCTCGTATCCTCTGGGTACAGTTTTTTGCCTTCACCTAGTCTTTCTCACAGACAAGATTGTGCTTGCTTTTCCTGTATGTGTGTATTTTTTGGAACTATTTGAAAATCAGTCGTAGACATCATGCACTTAAACTATTAAAACTTCAGCACGCATCTCGTAAGAGTAAGAATAGTTAGATATTCTTCTGTGTTATCTTAGTACCATTACCACATCTGAGAAAATTAGCAATAATTGTTCAGTTTTCTCTCCAATCTCTATTCAAAATTGTCCCCAGTCTATTTTGTGGGACTTGAAAAAAATCAGATAAAGCAGATAAATCAAATACATACCATTTATGCATTTGATTGTTAGGTGTCAGTACACATGCCATTTATGCATTTGATTGTTAGGTGTCTGTTTTTAACTGGGTTTTCCTAAAAGCAGAACCTGAGGCAGAGGGCTTAGGTGCTATTAATTTATTTAGAGAGTTCATTCCTAGAGAGCAGAAGTGAGGGAAAGTGTGAAGATAGTATAGGAAGGGGAAAAACTAATACAAGGATGCTTCCTGCCACTAAGTGTGACTGATTTTTGTATCCTTGGTATTGCATCCCTGAGAAGCCATTTGTACTGCATGTTAGGACTCTGCAAGGAAAGAGAAAGAATTTATCTACTGGCTTCTAGTGGGCAGCAGTTCCCCCATACTTTAGGGTTGTGGATTTGTCAGTGTAGGTGATTTATCAGGAAAGCCCCAAGTGAGGGGGTGAGAGGAGGAGATGTGGACTGGGGGCCACAGGCATGAAGTGTTCCTGGGGCTGCTCAGGATGAAAGGTAGGTGTGAAGATCTGGGGGTGACTGTTGGAATGGGTTGGGAATACACATACCAAATCTGGTACAGTGTCTCTAGTCTTTTGTAATCTGATAGAATAGTCTTCCTTATCTTCTTTTCCCCCCCTTTAAATGACATTACCTTTTTGAAGAGACCATGCCAGTTGTTTTATAGACTATCACACATTCTTTATTTGTCTCATTTGTTTCCTTATGTTATTTAACTCATTCCACTAATCCTTGTATTTCTGGTAAGAGGAAGTTAGGTGTAAAGGTTGATGAGACTCGTTTTTGGTAAGCAGACCTCACAGTGATACACAGTGTTGTATTTCATATTGCATCATCAGGAGGCTCACAATATCAGGTTGTTGCTCTTGTGGTGCTGAGTTGGATTGCGTAAAGGTGGGGACCTCCAGATCTTCCACGGGAAAGGTACGTTTTTCTTGTTGATATTGTGAAGTGTGTATGGGGTTGTACTTTGGCACCTTGTAGTGAGTCAGTTTCCCCCCATTGGTGATCATTGCCAAATCACTACATTTGAGGTTTCAAAATGTTATTTTTCTCCCTAATTTAATCATTCTGTTTGTAGTTATTAGTTGGCATTCTTCTATAACACTCTTTTTCTTCATCAACTAGGGATGAACTTCTGTTCCTTCTAAAAAGACAGGCTAAAGTTTACATTACTTTCTTTTAATGATCAGTTATTTGAGTAGCTTGTGTGATAATCCCCTCCAGAGGTTGCTAAGTTCCCCCTTTTTCTTGATCTCTCTCTTTACAAAGTTATCACTGTATACCGAGAAATTTTTATTTACTAAATGTTTACATACATTTAAGTTTGGGTGCTCATATTACTTCATATTTGACTAGACGAATCACTTGAAGGAGTATCTGTGTTTTCTTAGGATATGCTTTACTAGTCTTTGAGCATGTCCTTGCCTTCCAACAATTTTCCCAAGTTTATTTTGAGTTTTCACTGCTCCTGAACTAGAATCCACGCATAACGATGGTTTCCATTTTTCTATTCCTAGGGGTTGCTTTTTCTTTGAGGTGTTATTTTTGAGAGGTAAGAAAGTGGACAGGCAGGTGACACATTCTTCCAACTTTAGCCTTTTGCCCCAGAACTGGTAAAATAAAATTTGAGAAATATCGCGTGAGAAGAAAGCACATATTGTATTCATTTTAAAATATTAATGCAAAATATTGTATTAATAGTTTACAATATTAATATTTTAAAATGAATACAATATGCTTTGTCTTCCTTTCTTAAACTCACGTGTTCCACAGGAACGGATTAAAATAATAACCTTATTTTTCAAATAGCATAGTTTTAAAAGGCACATCACATACATTGTAATAATTTGGGATGTTAGAGGAGCATGAATTCATTCTTGCTATAGCCTCCTAACATACACGAGGTGAGCCAGATTTTGGTTCTTAATACGTGGAGCTTATACTGTGTTTACTTTAGAATTGATCAAACTGTCATTCAGGGATATTGGTACTGCCCAACGTTGCAGTATTAACCTATAGAAAAACTGATTAGAATTCAGAACTTCAGGCTTCAAGACTGATGTTTCCATTTTTGTTTAGTAACTTTCTTGGCAATTGGACTTGTTACCTAGACAAAGGAAAATACTGCAATAAAGTTAAAATAAGGAGAGAAAGAACTAATTTTAATAGAGATAGAAATGTAACAGGCAACGTTTATTTTTTTAAAAAAGCTATAGAAATACAGTAATATGTGGTATGATGATGTTTTGGCCAGCCACAGACCATGTTAAGTAGGGATCCCTTAAGGTTATAATCAAGCTGAGAAATTTATATCTCCTAGTGACATCTTTGCTGTCATAACATTGTAGCATGACGTATATCAAGTGTTTGTGGTGATGCTGGTGTAAATAAACCTGTTCTGCCAGTCATAAAAGCATAGCACGTATAATTAGGTACAGTACATAATACTTGATAAATATTAACAATTATGTTACTAGTTTATCTACTGTACTTTTAGTAGTTATTTTATAGAGTGCACTTCTACTTATTTTAGAAAAAAGTAAAGTGTAAAACGGCCTCAGGCAGGCCCTTCAGGAGGTATTCCAGAAGAAGACATTGTTTTCGTAGGTGGCGATAGCTCCATGCATGCTATTGCCTCTGAAGACCTTTCAGTGGTACTGTCCAGTGATACTGATGATTCTGGCCTTGGGTAGGCTTAAGTTAACGGGTGTGTGTGTGTTTGTTTTTAACAGTATTTAAAAGTGTGTGTTTGTATTTAAACAGTAAAAAAAAAAATTAAAAAATAGAAAAAAGCTTATAGAATCAGAATATAAAGAAAGAAAAAATTTTGTACCTCTATACAGTGTATTTGTGTTTTAAGCTAAATGTTAAGGTGAAAGAGTCAAAAAGTTAAAAAATTTAATTTATAAAGTAAAAAGGTTACAGTAAGCCAAGGTTAATTTATTACTGAAGAAAGAAAAACATTTTTCTATAAATTTAGTATAGATCAGCCTGGGCAGCATAGGGAGACCCCATCCCTACAAAAAAAAAAAATTAGGCGTGGTTGGTGCCTTCATGCCTGTAGTCCCAGCTACGTGGGAGGATGAGGTGGGAGAATTGCTTGAGCCCAGGAGGTCAAGGCTGCAGTGAGCTGTGATCAGTCCACTGCATTCCAGCCTGGGCGACGGATCAAGACCCTGTCTCCAAAAAAAGAAATGTTATAAGAGAAGTGGAACAACTGTCATATTATGCCAAAAAAAAAGCTGTTAATCTAGGAGAAAACTCAGCAAAACTTTACACAGTTACTGAGAAAATGAAAGGCTATGTGAAAGCTTAAGTATGTCACATTGGTTAGACTTATGTGTTCCTAGAAGACACCCCCAATTAGTTTTGAATTATGAGTTTTGATTATGTGACATTTTCAGTAACTCATCATTTAAATAATCTTGATTGCTCTATATCTGTATCTGTGCTTATTACTATTTTTAGTATTAGAGCAGTGATATCTCATGTGCTCCTAAACCTCCTCACCTCTCCTGTTTTTTGGATTTCCAAAGTGATACATGTTTATTGCAAAATTTCCTAACTTTATATGTTTTCAATTATGTGAAAGTCATATCAGAGAATAAATACTAACAGCTCTGTTATGCTCTTAATCCTTTTTTCTTTTAGAATCCCACTGTCCTTTTTCATTATGGAATATCTATAACCTCTTTCTCTGTCTTGGGCCTCTGTTCCCCTCTTTATTTTATCCTGTAAATATGTTCAAAGATTCCATTAGAAAAACAGACAAACAGAAAAAAGTACTTCTCAGTAGGACCCAAAGTAATAATAAACATATAGGATTAGCTGAACAAATACATACCAAATGGTTAAAAGAGGTTATCTCGGGAAAAGAATATAAAAAAAGACTTCAGCATTATGCATCTGTCTTTGTAAGTATGTTTAAGGTGTGCCTGAATTACCTGTGTAGTTAGATAATTTTTTTTAAGGTAAATAAAGGAAAAAAGAGAACAGTTACTGTGGAGAAGGAGGGTCAGAATCTGGGTTACAGAATATTGGGAATGGGAAGAAAAAAAGGCAAACTACGTTTTCAAGAAGCTTAGCTAAGAAGAGAAGGAATGCTATAGGGTCCTACTAAGAAGTGCTTTCTCCCCCTGTCTTTCTCCTAATGGCCTCTGTGAACATATTATATTTACAAGATAAAGTGAAGAAGGGAACAGAGGCCCAAGATGGAAAAAGAGATTATAGACATTGTATGAAGGGAGAGTGAGATTCCAAAAGAGAAAAGGATCCAAGGGCAAAACAGAAGCTGTTCGCATATGTTATCTGATTTTTTGGTGGCATTTGCTACTCTCTACTCTGCTTTTGAAAATTTTTTATCTTCTTGGCAACTATTTGACCTGTTGGTTTTCCTTCATTTTGTGTTATTTTTTAAAAAAATATTTTAATCATGGAGAAACTGTAGTGAATATTATAAATATCCATGTATTTACTACTACCTTAAGAAGATAACATAGTGTAAGTATAGCTGAAGTCTCTTGTGTTTTCCACTGTAATCACGTTCTCCTGCCTTGTTCCCCAGAATTAACCTCTGTCTTGAATTTGGTGCTTGTCACTCACATGTACTGTTTATAGTTACAGTTTTCTTTACCTTTCTTGTGCCTGGGATTCATTGAGTTTCTTGGATCTGTGGGTTTATAGTTTTTACCTACTTTAGACGTTTTTCACCAATTATTTCTGCAAATATTTTTTCTCTTCCTTCCCCTTTGCTTTCAGGGATTCCAGTACTTGTATATTGGTTTGGTTGACTTTGTCTGCAGTTCACTGATATGATTAATCTTTTTTCAGTCTTTTTCGTTGGTATGTTAAATTTTAGACAATTGCTGTTGCTATGTCTTCAAGTTCATTAATCTTCTCAAGTATCTAGTATACTATTAATCTCAGTCAGTTTTTTATTTCAGACAGTTTACCTCTAGAAGCTTGATTTAGTTTCTCTTCTCTTCTCCTCTCCCTCTCCTTCTTTTTGGAGACAGGGTCTTGCTGCGTCGCCCAGGCTGCAGTGCAGTGATGTGGTCATGGCCCACTGCATCCTCAGCCTCCTGGCTTCAAGCAGTCCTGCTGCCTCAGCCTCCCCAAGTACCTGGGGCTACACATGTATACCACCAGGCTGGGCAATTTTTTTTTTTAATTTTTTGGCAGAGATGGGGTCTTGCTGGATTGCCCAGGTTGGTCTCGATAGTTTCGTTTTTATTTTTGTCTAATTAACACACTCTATCCTTCTCTGTCTTCATAAACATAAGGGACAGAGTTAAAGTAACTTTTAAAATGTTTTTGTCTACTGATTCTATTATGTGTCATTTCTGGGTCAGTTTTTATTGATTGATTTTTTTTCTCTTCTCTGGATCGTGTTTCCTTGCTTCTTTACATGCTTGATAATTTGGATGAATTTGGCAGACGTTGTGAATTTTACCTTTTGGGGGCCTAGATATTTTTTTATTCTTTTAAATATTCTTGAGCTTTGTTTTGGGATGTAGTTAAATGACTTGGAAAGAGTTTGATGCCATTCAGACTGCTTTTTTGTTTGTTTTTGAGACGGAGTCTTGCCCCGTTGCCCAGGCTGGAGTGCCGTGGCATGATCTCGGCTCACTGCAACCTCCGCTTCCTGGGTTCAAGTGATTCTCCTACCTCAGCCTCCTGAGTAGCTGGGATTACAGGCATGTGCCACCACGCCTGGCTAATTTTTGTATTTTTGGTAGAGACGGGGTTTCACCATGTTGGTCAGGCTGGTCTTGAGTTCCTGACCTCGTGATCCACTCTCCTTGGCCTCCCAGAGTGCTGGGATTACAGGTGTGAGCCACCGCGCCTGGCTGCTTTTAAGCTTTTTCAGTGGGACTGAGCAACATTTGGTTGTAGAAGGCTATCCCCACTGCCCAGTATATTATGAGTTTTCATTATTCTTGGCCTTGCGTGAGCTCTGGGTTTTGTTCCATTTGCTGCTTTCTAAGATTTTTTCCTCACCTTGAAGTTTCCTTACATGCATGTACTGATCAAAACTAATCTGAAGACTCGAGGGGAACTCTGCAGATCTCTGGAGCTTTTTCTGTCCCGCTCTCTCCTTTCTGGTACTCTTACCTGTGAGTTTTAGCTCTGTTTATTCTCAACGCTTTCTCCTCAACTTAAGGCTGCTGGGTTTCGTTGAGTTTCCCCCTTCTGCTACAGCCAGGAAACTTTTTCTGGGCATTTACAGGACTCACCTCATTAGTTTCTCTTCTCACAGGGTCCAGTGTCTGAAAGTCAGTCTTTTTTTTTATTCCATTATGGTTGGCAGCAATTGCTTGTTTATGGAAAGCCATTGGTATTCTAAAATACTGTTAATTATCTTATGTGCCTATTAGGTGAAGTGTTGCCATCCCAAAAGGCTTATATTTCAAGTCCTTCTAAAGTAGCTCATATTACAGGGTGATTTCTAAATTACTTTTAACAGCAAATGACCATCTGAAGAGAACACATAGGCTTGAAATGTACCTTACTCAGTGCCAGTTGGGTACTTACAGATACTTACAGAAGATGCAGTTAGTGTAGAATTTAACACAAATTGAATAATCATTCCCTGAGTACAGCCTTAAAACCTGTAAGTATTAGATCTATGCAAGCTTTTTTGAAGGATTATTAGGTATATTAAAAAATAATATAGTAAGGGGTTAGTTACATCATGAAGGTTATAAATACACGCCTACAGTACAGGGGAAAGTGGCTTCCTCTTCTGTGAATGAGCACTACAAGTTGAGTGTTCCTTATCCAAAATACTTGGGACCAGAAGCGTTTTGGATTTTGGATTTATTTGGATTTTGATATTTGCATTATACTTGTTGGTTGAATATCCCTGATCTGAAAATTCAAAATCTGGAACGTGGCTAGGCACAGTGGCTCACCCTTGTAATCCCAGCACTTTGGGAGGCCGAGGCAGGTGGATCGCCTGAGGTCAGGAGTTTGAGACCAGCCTGGCCAACATGTCAAAACCCCGTCTCTACTAAAGATACAAAAATTAGCTGGGCGTGGTGGCAGGCATCTGTAATCCCAGCTACTCGGGAGGCTGAGGCAGGAGAATCATCGCTTGAACCTGGGAGGCAAAGGTTGCAGTAAGTTGAGATTGTGCCATTGGACTCCAGCCTGGGTAACAAGAGTGAAACTCCATCTCAAAAAACAAAAGATAACAAAATCTGAAATGCTCCAACGAGTATTGTCTTTGAGTGTTATGCTGGCACTTAAAAGATTTTGGATTTTGGAGCATTTGGATTGTGGATTTTTGGATTAGGGATACCCAATCTGTAGTAGTAATTAGGGATAAATGGTCAAGTGACGTTGTAGTTCAGAAAGGGCCATATCTCAAACAACTTAAACCGTATAAAACTGATGTTTGAGGTCACAGAGATTAGATCATTAAAAAGTGGTTGTGGTTATGATGACCCTAGACATCGGAGATGAATGTGAGGAGTTTAACTAAAATTTGTTCTTTGAAATGTGACTGGAATAATATATTAGACATACTATTTTAATGTGTTGTTAAGTAATTATATGTTAACTGATTAATTTGGATATTTGACTATTTCATCTTATTCTTACAGGTTTGTAATTGAGTTGGCAAACTTCTATTTTTACTGGGAAAATGGAATGTCTAATTTTCAGGATTGTTTCAGGCTGTTTTCAATTTTGTAATCACCTATAGTTTAAATATTAGAAAGGCCACTCATTAATTCAGCAAACATTGTGGTCACCCTGCTATCCCCCAAGATGATGGGGATAAAGTGGTAGGTATTTGAGACATTTCTTTTCTTTTTTTTCTTTTTCTTTTGAGATGGAGTCCCACTTTGTCGCCCAGCCTGGAGTGCAGTGGTGAGATCTCGGCTCACTGCAGTGTCCACCTCCTGTGTTCAAGTGATTCTCCCACCTCAGCCTCCCGAGTAGCTGGGATTACAGGCATGCGCCACCACGCCTGGCTAATTTTTGTATTTGTAGTAGAGATGGGATTTCACCATGTTGGCCAGGCTGGTCTCGAACTCCGGACCTCAAGTGATTCTCCCACCTTGGCCTCCCAAAGTGCTGGGATTACAGGTGTGAGCTACCATGCCCAGCCTCATGAGACATTCTTGAGTCTTGTCCTGTTGGACCTTAGAATCCAACGGATTTAAAAACTGAAACATAGGCATGGTATAAATTCAAGGACTCTTAGGAGTCATTGAGTTTTTTTATTTTACAAAAGAGGAAGTTGAGACCCTCCTCCCACCCCCCCGAAGAAAATGACTGCTTAAGTTACACAGGCTGAATGATATTTCTAACTTGCCGTAGTGATTTTCAGCCTTTTCTATTATGAAGTCTGCCAAACTTAGGGATGCCTGCCCTCTCTGGGCTAGACTACTCTAGATGTGATAAAAATTTCACAAGAGAAACTTCAGAATACTAAGAGAGCAACCAGGTAAAGGGTTTTACATACCTCCTTATTTTTCTTCGCAAAATGCAATGCCTAGTCAGTACTTAGATATCACTTCCATTGTTTTCAGTATTCTGCTTAAAAATGATAAACTTTATTTAGGGAGTTATGAGCCTTGAGCCTTATATGAGCTTTACTCTTTCATGTTGGGAGCAAATGATAATTGCAGGGGTGGGGTGGGGAAAAGGGAGTACTCAACAGAGCATGTAATTTCCAGGCTATATCCTGCATGGGATAAGGGATGTGTTGGCCCATGATGACATTTACATAGCTACATACATATGTATTTAGGTCTGAGAGGAGAAAAACCATTTTTTCCCTCTGCTCTCAACACAGCACACTTCTGTGCTGACTAGATGTGTGAGGAGGTTTTTGGTGAAGCTTTTCCAGTGGACACCTACTGGGTGTCCTATAATTCAATTCTGACACTATCTGCTTGGAGGTAGTAGTAGTCTCTACGTAAATACAGTTCTGGCAGTGTCTACTTGGAGATAGTAGTAGTCTCTGAAGTATAGTGTCAGATCCCACAGGTTGGGGGCTCAGCCCCACAAGACTGCCCCCATTTAGATGGAAATAGTAGATTGTGACCTATGCTTCTGACTGACTAGTTTTAAATTGGGGTTCACACAACCCCTTCCTTGGGTTTGGTTAATTTGCTAGGATGGCTTACAGAACTCAGGGAAATGCGTTTACTAGTTTATTATAAAAGATGTTATAAAGGATACAGATGAACAGCCAGAAAAAGAGATACATAGGGCAAGGTCTGGAAGGGTCCCAAGTGCAGGAGCTTCTATCCTGGTAGAGTTGGAGTCCTCAGCCTTCCCAGCTTGCCTTTGCCAACCCAAAAGCACATCACATGTTGTTAAGAGTTTTTATAGAGCTTGATCTCCAGCCCCCAACCCCTGCCCCTTTCCTGGAGGTTGGTGGGTGGAGCTGAAAGTTCCAGCCCTCTAACCCTCTAATCCTCTAATCCCGTGGTCTTTCTGGTGATGAGCCTCATCCTGAGGCTTTCTAGGGGTCTCACTTTAAGTTACCTCATTAGCATTAGCTGTGATCCAAAGGGCTTGTCATGAACAAAAGAAGACCTTCCCATTACTTAGGAATTTCCAAGAGTTTTAGGCACTCTGACAGAAACAAAGACCGAATATATTTCATATTATACCACAATAGATCTATAGCTGTAGCTGGCATTTACTGAGCACTGTTGCACTATTTATTGCCACTATTGACCTAACAAGTCAGCATTATTCTAAGTGCCCTGTGTATATTATTTAATCCTCACACAACAGCCCCATTAGATAAAGTAAGGTAAAGTCCCATTGGGCCTGTCTCAAGTATACCCTGTTAGGCTTTAAATAAAAGGCTGTAATTTGATACATACTAATAATAGTAATAACAACATTGATAATGCTTACTATTTGATAGGTTCTACCAAATGGTATCTATGTATTAACTCCTTTTCATAACGCTTAACAGTGAAATGTGGTTTAGTCTGAAAGTTGTTAGTGCAGTCCATGTGTATTTGAAATGTTAGGAGGAGGAATGGGGTATAAGAGGCAAGTAGGAACAGTTCAGTTGTTTGAACTTGAGGTCATTCATAATATCTGTAAACTGTGAGGAAACTTTGTGGACAAAAATTGCAGATAATACTCTTCCTTATTATGCATTAAAAATTTGTTAGAAAATTTCTTGGATTTTAAAGGTTTTTACAGACAGGATCTCACCCTGTTGCCCAGGCTGGAGTGCAGTGCTGCAATTACAGCTCACTGCATCCTCAAACTCCTGGGCTCAAGCCATTGTCCAGTTTCAGCCTCCCAAGTAGCTAGGACTACAGGCGCAGGCCACCACATGTAGCTAACTTCACTATGGCATTTGTATAGGGGAGTGTGGCTGGAAGCTTATGATACTGAAAGCCAGTTGCATATCCCTCTGCCATGTCCCCTGTGTCTGTTAGCCTATCTAGCTCCAGTCCTAATGATCTTGGAGACAGGACATGAATTCACAAAGTTAGTTGACTTAAAAACAAAGACTTCTTGAGGAGTTTGAAAGGTTACATAGTTGTAACTATCTTTTTGTGGTGGTTTTTTTTGGTGTGTGGGGGATCAGTGAAATGGATTTAGTAAGGCAGTAAAGTTAAAATTTGCCTTTGTTGGTAAAATGTTATTTATTCACTTTTTTAGCAAAGAAAAAAAGGCAAGTTTTAGAGATAATATTTTAAATTATTGTATTTTGTTTTTCCTGCTCCCCTTCTCAAAAAACCACATGGAATATTCCATTCATTACTGCTCGAGAAAGTCATTACTTTGCAGGCTGCAGTTGCTGAAATGGTTTAGTGGAAGAAATGTTTGCTTGCATATTTTTAGTGATTTTTTTTTTTTTTTTTTTTTTTTTTTTTTTTTTGGTGGTTGTCATTTGAGTATCCAAACTGTAGCTAACGAGGAGAAGCAGATTTAAATTTATATCGGGGGAACCTCTTTGTGGAGCATTTCATCAGATGACTTCCTGTCAACCTCATATCTTGAAAAGAGGGATTAATGAAACAGCATCTGAAGAAGCAGTGGACTCTTGTGGAATAAACCCTGACATCTTCCACAGTGTTTTGTGGGATAATTTCAAGTTCTTCAGATACAGATTACATAAAGAAGATTGTAGGGCACGTGACAGACTCTGGTTTCTTGTATTTTAGATAGTAGAAAAATTGCTACCTCTAAGAATGGATCCTGGAGAGATCTAGTTACAGTTATAACTTCTTCATTTATGGTTTTATCTCACAGCTTTATTTATTTTTATTTACATGTTTTGTTCAACTAGGCAACTTAAAATAGTTTTGCTTTATGTATAAAATATTGTAATGGTAGAGTAATGGATTGCCTGTGCATTGTAACCACAAAGGTAAGATATAATATGCTTTTCTGTATTTCATTGTTAGTGACAGATGTGAGAGACCCTTTGTTCAGTGTCTTTTAAAAATAAGGTGTAACCATTGTTATAGATTTGAAAATAGATGTGTGAATCCATGTGATGCTTAGTTTATATCCTTTAGAAAGGGCGGTATTTTGAAATGTGTTTTAGATAGCCAAAAGCGTGTTGCACAGATGTTTTTTCCCTGAGATTTACAGGAAGCCTTTCTCCCAGCAGCAAGGGTCTGTAAAGTCCTGATTATATTTAAATCTTCTCAGTGTATTCTCAGAGCTACTCTTCTCCCCTTTGTGTCCCAACATGCCATGCTAGTTGAAAGTATAACTCGTTTTGAGAGCATTTTCTGGACTCTTCCATCTATTATAATTATAGTTAATTTTTTGTTTTTTTAGGAAGAGGAAAATAGTCAAGTGCTGATTGTGTTGCCTTTAGAAAGATGTTGATGTGGATTTAAAATGATTAGACTTGTACAAGCACTCCTTGAAAGTACTTGTTTTGAAGTCTGTTTTGCTCATTGTGTTCAAAGTGCAGCATGCTTCACTTAATCTCTAAGTTTGGCTTCTTTTATTTTTGAGCACCAGTTTGCAGACATTGTGTGATGGTGTTATAGATTCAGCGTGCTTACATTTAAAATTCATCCATTGGTTTTTAAAATATGGAATAATTTACCTTTTTTTATTTCTATGCACTTACGATGTCTCATAGTGATTGCTAGACAAACTTGTTGAGATTTTAAAATTACATTCAGTAATAAAAGAGTAGGTAAATTTGTAAATTCTGAAAGTAGAGGCTATTACTCTTTCTGTATAATGAATTATTTTTCATAAGAGGAAAAGCAGGAAAATTGATGGAAATTAGTTTTCTTTTCTTGTTGCTCAGAGTTCTAGTTCAAACAGTAGTTTCTGATCGGATACAGACATGCCCATTATCTGTTTCCATTCCCTGTTTATAAGGAGATGTCTTCTCTGTACCTCTAGGTAAACTGTCTTGTTGAAATATTCTTACTGAATGTTTAAAGGGCACATAATCCTGGAAAACAGGGTCGTTGTTGCTTTTTCCCTCTCTAAATTTTTTTCATGGTTGTCTATGTTGGTTCTCCCCTGTGATTTGCCTTTTATCATTTCATTCATTTTGGTTTTATTTCCAGTATTATAGCAAGGTTATTTGAAATGATCTATCTCCTCTCTCTGCTCCATCTTCCTTGATAGACTTTGAATTTTTTTACATTGACTCTTTTAGCAAAAGAGGGTCTATTTTGCTTAAAAAATTAGATGTAATCATTATCCTAAAGTATTTATAAATTTTTATTATATAACTGTTAAAGCAAAAATAGAGAAGGATGTAGGTTGGAAATTAGAAGCCTAAAACATTGTTTGTAGTTGCTTTTGAAAAAACTAAATTAAAATAATTTGTTCTATTATTAGAAATAAACCCTTTGAACATATTTAACCAATGGCTCTAGCAGGAAGAGCAAAATTCTTGATTTTCTTTTGAACTAAAGGCTGCGGTGTGTACCCCATCCCTTGTTCTTTTCTCCCTTTTCTGGTCTTAGAGAGCTTTGTGATTCTATATGTGTTTTAAAAGTCTGACAGTGTAGTTGATGTAATTTTATCATGTTAATACTAAAACACCTTTCCAAGTGAAATTTTTTTCATCATCCGCCTCCCCTCTCTCCCACTTGTGTAGGCACGGTGAACTAGGTAGGCACGTTGCATCATTGCTACCATGGATACCCTTAAGTACAGGCATGTGGGTTGAGCTAAAGCAATGATGATTAGTTTTTTGGTTGTTCCCCCCCGCCCCCCCATAACTATATGTTCTTCACAATGAAGAATCTGACTTTAAAACGTTTGCAAATGACAAGGTTGTGAGATGTGATGACTAAACCATCACTGCTACTGAACTGCCAAATCTTGGTCTCCATTTACAGTAGTATTAATGCCATTTACTAATTTAAGGCTGTCATAAATAGCTCTGTATTCCTTTTCTGATTAATATGTTTTAAATCCAAGTGTAATGTTTGTTTTGTTTTGCCTTTTAGTGAAAATGAAAATGTACTTCTCTTCGAGTTAAAAAAAATACTCTTCTGGATTTAGATATTTTGTGGGACAAAAAGATGCTAGTGAGCATTTCTAGCATGGCAGCGTTTCTGATTATTGTTCATACACTTATATACATTTTTATGTACTTTAATCAGCTTGGTTACAGTATTTTGTGCTTTTCCACATAATGTCTAAGAGAGATTTATTTTTGTGTTTGTAAGTTCTTGTGTTCTTAGCTAGCTGCTTTGCAAACATGTCCGTTGAGGTGGAGTTAATATTGTTAGAGGCCAGGCAGTGAAGTGTCATTTTTGTCAGGCTCGTAATCACTGTAGGAAAATTAACTCAGAGCATAAAAGGCCCAACAAGAGTGATTTAGGATTATTGTTATATATGGTATATTTTCTTATGTTAGCAATAAAGCACTCTGCTTAAACCGCAGCTGAGGGCATTTCGTGTTCTTTAGCATGGAGGTTTCCCAGCTGTCAAGTAACTTCTGAGAGTAACTTTAGTACCAGAATTTCTTGTAATAGGATCATGTCTTTCTTTAAGTTCAGGTGTTTCATTAAGGCAAGCTGGAGATAGGAATAAAAGGATTATGAAAGAGAAGGAGCTTGAAAGATGCTTTTACCCATACCTGTTTCTGCTTTGTCAGCCTCTTTTTGCTGCCTTTATTTTAGATTTTAGAGTGATGCTTTGCCTTGTCTTCTGAAACAGTTCCCTGAATCTCCTACTTGCCAAAAGTTCATGATTCTTTTGGTGATTCTTTATATGGGTAAAGAAAATGTATGCCCGTGTGTGGGGATGTTTGTCATTCCAGTGGGTGCCCAGCAAATTTGTTTTAACATAACTGATAGAATTTTAGGAATTAAGTCACCAGAGAACTGTTGAATTGTTTTGGTTTATCAGTTTGGGAATTATGAATACAAAATTTGACTCCTTTGGGTAAAACAGCTATCTTTTATTTAAATATTCATATTTATATTAGGGTACTTTCACTTGTAGGTTGTATTAAAATTGTATGTTAGAAGCTTTGAAAGGGGTATTAAATATGTTAAAAGAAAGTCTCAGTACAGGTATTTCAGATTTTTTAGATTTTTTTTAAAAGACTTCAAATTTTTTAAGTTAGGTTTTAATAGTGAATAGAAATGCTGCCCTCTACTGTTGGCTGATTGTTTGACTGCCACGTAAAAATGTTCAGTAACCTGTAATAGAATTTTTTAGTGTAGATCATATTACTGTGTTGAAGTATAATTATGTTAAACGTTTTCCTTATAATTTAGTTAAGTTATAATCAAGTGTTTCCTAATAATGCTAACTACTATTAAATAAGTTCATTACCATTTTGGCTTTTAGAAAAACTTGAGTCCTGGAGAAAGTTTCGTTTAGTCTTAGCTCCTCATTTTATATGGTGAGGTTTTAGTACTTCCTAGATTGATCCCTTATGGTTGTGTGACTGAAAGCTCGTATTGATAACTTATAACCAAACTATAGGTAAAGATACATTTTTCTAAACTAATTATTTTTAGTTTATGCTATGTAAAATGTCTGAACTTCTGAAACTTATGTTTTACATGTAAAAAAATTTGGAATTTAAATCACTATTAAATCTTTGCATGTTTATTAAAATGAGGCACTGCTTTAAAAAGTAGTACTGTTGAGCAAATTTAAACCTCTGATTGATGTTTTTCACCGTGAGTGGAGGGATTAGAAGAGACGGTTTTAAAGATTCCTTTTAGCTTCGCTGAGTGCCTACTGTGTGTGAAGTACTGTAGAAAATAAACACGGAAAACAAAGGCTATTATAGTTCTTCCTTTAGATCAGGAGTTGGCAGACTATGGCCAGTGGGCCAAATTGGGCCACACTCACTCATTTACTTACCTTGTATGGCTGCTTTAGTGCTACAGTGGCAGAATTGGGTAGTTGCAGCAGTGAGCATATGGCCTGCAAAGCTGAAAATACTTACTCTCTAGACTTTTACAGACAATGTTTGCTAACCCCTGCCCCAGATGAACTTCTCATCTAGTGCAGAAGATATATCTAAAAAGAATCATTTTAAACAGATTTTTATAGGACACATAGAATGCCAAATAAAGCTAGCATGTCATTAAAATATGCTTTCTTTATTAGCGCCATTCTTCCTGTTCAGTAGTATCTTAACATCATCTAATAATTCCCAAAGATTCTTGTTTATTGGCCATTTGCAGATATCGTACCTCACAGCCTGGTTATTTTCATCATCATCATTATTTTTTCTGTGTGAACTGCACAAATCTAAGTACGCAGCTTGATGCCTTTTTATAACTGCAATCACTATCCATAGAAAGACACAAAACATTTCCAGTACTCCAGAAAGACTCCCATTAGCTCTTTCCAAGACAGCCCACCCTCCCCAGAGATAATCTTTTTTTTTTTTTTAACTCATATCACTATAGATTAGGTTTGAACGTCATATAAATGGAATCATGCAGTATATATGATTAATTATGGCTTCTTTTACTCAGTATCTGTGTTACTGTGCGTGCTGGTAGCTTGTTCCTTTTTATTGCTGTGTAATATTCCATGGTGGGAATTTGAATTGTTTCTACTTTTTGGTTGTTATGAAGAAAGCTGTGTAAAACATTTTATACAAGTCCTTTTGTGTACATATCCACTAATTTCTCTCAAATATATACCTGGGAGGTAGGATTTTTAATTCACATTGTAGAGCCCTTACCACAAAGTTTTTGTTTAATAGGACAAAGCAGGAGGCAGGAATCAATGACACACTTTCACTTACTTTATAAGTTCACCTAGTCCCCTGCTTCATTACAAAGTGGTGACTTTACATTTTTTCATAAGCACTGTGATTAAGGCAACCTACGTTTTGACTAAATCAAACAGGTTTTATTTCCAATGCCACCTCTTATTGGTGTTGGTGTCTAGAGGTCTTTGCTAAGAATTCTGATAACAAGTTGAAAGTGCTGTGATTGTCTAGTAGTCTTTGCTGTGTTGAGGGATTAGAGATGTGTGGGGGAGGCATGTGACAGAAGAATGGGATCATTTTTATTTAATATATTTGAAAAATTCTTACATATTGAATATAGTGCATTTAAAATTACCTCATTGCTTGAACAGGTCATAGATTTTTTTTTTTGAGACAGAATCTCGCTCTTGTCACCCAGGCTGGAATGCAGTAGCGTGATCTCGGCTCACTGCAACCTCCACCTTCCAGGTTCAAGTGATTCTCCTGCCTCATCCTCCTGAGTAGCTAGGATTACAAGCACGTGCCACCACGCCCGGCTAATTTTTTTTTCTTTGTATTTTTAGTAAACGTGGGGTTTCACCACATTGGCCAGGCTGTCTTGAACTCCTGACCTCAGGAGGTGATCCACCAACCTCTCAAGGTGCTGGGATTACAGGCATGAGCCACCACGCTCAGCCTTTGAATAGGTCATAGATTTCTTAATTTCATTTATTGTATTTTTAACTTTTAGAATGTCTGTTTGCTCTTTTTAGAGTTTCTATTTCTCTTAAATTTGATATTGCATCTAATTTGTACATCTTTTCCTGTGTATTTAAAAATTGCCATTTTAAAGTTCTTTTCTGCTATAATAGTTCTAACATCTGTGGTTCTGCTGTGTGGGTTTTCTTTTGATTGTTTTCCTCTTATGTTATCCTACTTCTTTACATGTCTTAAATTTTTTATTGTGCTCTAAATAACGTATAAAAGAACCATTGAAAGCGAAGCAGTGTTCTTTCCTTTTCAGGAAGCTGCAGTGAGGCTGATAAAATAGGAGTTGAATTTGTTTAGGGTTAGGTTGCTGCTTTAGTTACTTTCACCTGGCTTCTGTTTTCAGCTGTCATGAGGGTGGGAGATGAGTTTTGTGTCTTTCATTGGTTCTTTCCACTAGCATGACTTTAGGGTGTATGAACTGTGAGACTGCAGAAATGTTTCATGGCTTTATAGCCCCATTCTCAGCCTGCTACACTGCTGTACCCTCAGTAAATGCCCCATGAAGGCGATCTAATGTGTGGGGACAAATAACTCTCCATTTTAGGATCCTCCAGATTCTAACTGGTCATGCCAGCCCACGTCATTAAAGGCTCCACTCCTTATACCATCAAAGTCACTCAATCTGTATCAGGTCCATTCCTTTGCCCACCTGAGTCTAGGCTTGTCAGATACACTGTTTAGGTAAGTGTCTGCCTTCTTACAAAAGGCTTCTTTCTTTGGGGTTTAGATTCTTTCCTTCGTGTGCAGAAATTTCCATTTCCTTTTTTTTTTTAATTAAACCTTTAATTTTGGGTTAATTGTAGATACATGTATGTTTGTAAAAAAATAATAATAATGCAGAAATCACATGTGCCTTTAACCCAGTTTCCTCTAGTAGTAACTCTAGCATAGTATCACTAACCAGGATATTGACGTTAATAGAGTCAAACTACAGAACATTTCTGTCACCACAAAGATCACTCGAGGCCTTTTTGTAGCCACACCTACTTTCCTCTCACCCCATCCCCTTCTTAACTCAAAGCAACCACTGATCTGTTCTCTATTTCCATTATTTTGTCATTTCAGCAATTCTATATGAATGGAATAATAAATATATAAACTTTCAGGATTGGCTTTTTTCACTGAGCATAATTTTCAAGAGATTGCCGGGGAGTGAAATTGATGGGTCATATGATAGTTGCATGTTTGCTTGTTTTTTTAAAGAAACTGCTAAACCGCTTTCCAGAGTAGCTGTATGATTTTACATTTCCAACAGCAATGTGTGAATGATCGAGTTTTTCCACATCCTTGCCAGCATTTGGTGTTGCCTCATTTTATTTTAGTCATTGTCATCGATGTGTAGCCACATTTCCCTGATGGCAAATGATTTTGGACATCTTTTCATGTGCTTATTTGCCATCTGTGTATCTTTTTTGGTGAAATGTCTCTTCATGGTCTTTTGCCCATATTCGAATTGGGTGGTTCTTTTTACTACTGAGTTTTGAGAATTCTTTATGTAATCTATTATAGTGTACTAGTCCTTAGTCAGATATATCATTTCCAGATATTTTCTCCCAGTATGTGGCTTGTCTTTTCATCCTTTCTTTAAGGATCTTTCGTGGAACAAAACCTTTTAATTTTGATGAAGTCCAATTTATCAAGTTAGGTGACAAATCTCATAACTCTTTGCCTAACCCTAGGTTTTGAAAATTTTCTCCTGTTTCTCCTGTTTTTTCAGATTAAGTTCATAATCCATTTTGGGTTAGTATTTTTTTTATTGTGGTAAAATATACATAACATACAATTTATTATGGTAACCATTTTTATGAGACTGACATGCTGCCCACTGCGCAAAGAGGACGATTATTCTAACCATTTTAAAGTGTATAGTAAAATGGTATTAAATACATTCATGAGATGCAGCCACTACCACTATTCATCTATAGACTCTGTTCTAATCTTGTAAAACTGAAACGAGGACAATTATCCTAACCATTTTAAGTTTACAGTTAAGTGGTATTAAATACATTTGTGAAATGCAGCCGTTACCACTATCCATCTACAGACTCTTTTCATCTTGCAAAGCTGAAGTTCCATAGTCATCAGACATAACTCCTCATTCCCTCATCAGACAATAACTCCTCATTCCCTCAGCCATCATTCTACTTTGTTTCTCTGATTTTAACTACCGTAAGTACCACATAAAAGTATAGTCAGATGGTATTTGTCTTCTTGTGACTGGCTTGGTTCACTCAGCATCATGTCCTCAAGTTTCAGCCATGTTATAGTATATGTCAAAATTTCCTACCCTTTTAAAGCTGAATAATATTCTATTATATGTCTATACCACATTTTTCGTATCCATTATTTCGTTAATGGATACTTTGTTTCCATATTTTAGCTATTGTGAATAATATTGCTATGAAAACAGTATAATCTCTTTGAGACACTGCTTTTAAAATCCAAAGTAAAAGCAGTAAAAGAAGAGGTTTATAAAGTAGAAAAAGAAATGGGTAGAAGCATCTTTAAATCTCCTCCCTTTCATATTCCTTTTATTCCTACCTCCAGCTTGTCTCGATGATAGACCTGTACTTAAACCATCCACCACCTCTCATAAGGAGAGACAACTAGCACACTAGTCATAAAAAGCAAGGAACAAGAACTATAAAAGAGGGAAAAGAGAAAGAATGATTCAGAAAAGACTGTTCTGTACAGCCAGGAACCTACATATTTTACTGTTTCATAAAAATTATCAAAAAGATCTTCTAACAATTAGTGAATCTTACCATGTACTGGGCATTGTTTCCCACACTCGACAGGTCTATTGAGAAATGTCTGTTCAGATCATTTGCCCATTTTAAATGTGCCCATTTTAAAATATGATTATTTGTTTTTTTGCTATTAAGTTGTTTAAGCTCTTAATATATCCTGGTTATTAATCCCTTGTCAGACGGGTAGTTTGGAAATATTTTCTCCCATTCTGTGAGTTTTCTCTTCACTTTGTTGATTGTGTTTTTTTGCTGTGCAGAAGCTTTTTAGCTTGATGTAATCTCATTTGTCTTTTTTAGCTTTGGTTGCCTGTGGTTTTGAGGTCTTAACCTCAAAAAATCATTCATTCATTCATTCTTATGCATATGGATATCCAGTGTTCCCAGCATCATTTATTAAAGAGACTGTCCTTTCCCCATTATATGTTCTTGGCATCTTTGTTGAAGATGAGTTGGCTATAAATGCATGAATTTATACCTGGATTCTTTTTTCTTTTCTGTGTGTCTGTTTTTATTCCAGTACCGTGCTTATTTGGTTACTGTAGCTTTGTAGTAAATTTGAAGTCAAGTAGCGTGATGCCTCCAGCTTTGTTCTTTGCCTTGACCATTTGGGGTCTTTTGTGGTTCCATATAATTTTTAGGGTTTTTTTTCTATTTCTTTTTCTGTGAAGAATGTCATTGGTAATTTGATAGGCATTGCCTAGAGTCTGTATTTTATTTATTTGTTTTTTTGTTTGTTTTTGTAGAGACTGGGTTTCACCATGTTGTCCAGGCTGTAGTCAAGCAGTCCACCCACCTCGGCCTCCCAAATGCTGGGGTTACAGGCATGAGCCACCGTGCCTGTCCCTGAATCTGTAGATTACTTTGTTTAGTATTGTTATTTTTACAGTATTCCTCCACTTCATGAGCATGGAATAGCTTTCCATTTTGGGGGTCCTATTCAATTTCCTTTTTTTTTTTTTTTTTTTTGATGGAGTCTTGCTCTGTTGCCCAGGCTGGAGTGCAGTGGCATGATCTTGGCTCACTGCAACCTTTACCTCCCAGGTTCTCTTCACAGCCTCCTGAGTAGTTGGGATTACAGGCACCTGCCACTGCGCCTGGCTAATGTTTGTATTTTTGGTAGAGACAGGGTTTCACTATGTTGTCCAGGCTGGTCTTGATCTCCTGACTTCAAGTGATCTGCCACCTCAGCCTCCCAAAGTGCTGGAATGACACGTGTGAGTTCATTTTCTTTAGTTAGTGTTTTATAGTTTTCCTGTATAGATCTTTAACTTCTTTGGTTCAATTGATTCCCATACACTTTATATTCTTTGTAGCTATTATAAATGTGATTGCTTTTTAAATTTCTTTCTTCTCTTTTTCTTTTTCTTTTTTTTTTTTTGAGACGGAGTCTCACTCTGTCGCCAGGGCTGGAGTGCAGTGGCATGATCTCGGCTCACTGCAACCTCTGTCTTGCAGGTTCAACTGATTCCCCTGCCTCAGCCTCCTGAGTAGCTGGGATTACAGGTGCCCACCATGACGCCCAGCTAATTTTTTGTATTTTTAGTAGACCTGGGGTTTCACAATGTTGGCCAGGCTGGTCTCGAACTCCTGACCTCGTGATTCACCTGCCTCGGCCTCCCAAAGTGCTGGGATTACAGGCATGAGCCGCCGTGCCCGGTGCTTTTTAAATTTCTTTTCAGATTGTTCACTGTTGGTATATATAATGCTATTGATTTTTCATGTTGATTTTGGATCCTGCAGCTTTACTAAGCATATGTATCAGTTCTTACAGTTTTTTTTGGTGAAGTCTTTAGGTTTTTCTAGGTATGAGATCATGCCATCTGTAAACAAGGCTAATTTGACTTCTTCCTTTTCAATTTTGGTGCCCTTTATTTCTTTGTTTTACTTCACTGCTTTTCCAGTACTATATGAAATAAAAGCGGTGAAAGTAGGCATTTTTGTCTTGGTCCAGACCTTAGAGGAAAGACCTTCAATTTTTCCCCATTCAGTATGATGTTAGCTGTGGGTTTATTATATATGGCCCTTTTAATTTTGAGCTATGTTTCATCTGTAACAGTTTGTTACCGGTTTTTATCACAAAGGTATATTGAATTTTATCAAGTGCTTTTTTGGCATCTATTGAAATAATCATGGTTTTTGTTTTCGGTTCTGTTAATGTGATGTATCATGTTTATTGGTTTGTGTATGTCACACCATCCTTGCATTCCTGAGGTGAATCCCACTTGATTATGATGCGTGATCCTTTTAATATGTGGTTGAATCTGGTTTGCTAATATTTTGTTGAAGATTTTGCATCTAATTTCATAATCAGTGGTATTGGCCTGTAGTTTTCTTTTTTTGTTTTATCCGTGTCTGGTTTTGGAATCACAGTGATGCTGGCCTTGTAGAATGAATTCCAAAACATTCGATTTTTTTTTTAAAGAGTTTGAGTAGAACTGGTAGAATTTATTAGGAAGCCATTAGGTCCTGGGCTTTTCTTTGGTGGGAGACTTAATTTTTTGTTTTATTTTTAAAAATTTTAATATTTAGTGGAATGGGAGACTTTATTATGGCTTCAATCTCATTACTTGTTATCAGCTTATTGAGGTTTTCTTTCTTCATGGTTCAATCTTGAAAGTCATGTATCCAAGTATTTATCCATTTCTTCTAGTTTTTAAATTTGTTGGCATATAGTTGTTCATAATAGTCTGTAATGATTTTTTTGTATTTCTGTGGTCTCAGTTATGTTTTCTTTTTCATTTCTGATTTTATTTATTTGAGTCATCTTTTTTTTAGCCTAGCTAAAAGGTAGTTGATTTTGTTTTGTTGATCATCTGTATTTTGTTTTATTCTCAATTTTATTTATTACTGCTATGATGTTTATTATTTCTTTTCTTCTACCAATTTTAGATTTGGTTTGTTCTTGCTTTTCTGGTTCCTTCAGGTGCATTATTTCTTTGAAGTCTTTCTCATTTTTTTATTTTTTGAGACATAGTCTTGCTCTGTAGCCTAGGCCAGAGTGCAGTGGAGTGATCATACCTCACTCTTGTCTTGAACTCCTGTGCACAAGTGTTAGGAACAGTTTCTCTTCAAACAAAGGGTTTCACCCTCCTTGTCTTTTGTTCTAGTATATAAGTAATCTTTCTTGCCTTTAACACACCCAGGCATGCCTCCGTCCACCAAGCTTGTAGCCGACCCACGCTGCCTTACTTTAAGTTGTTAGGTACAAAAAATAAACTTCCTGGTTCTTTGTCCTATTCTAAATGCTAAATCTAGTCAGTCGGGATCAGTTTAGATTGTGTGGTCCTACCCCAGATAACAAGGGGAGGACACAGAAACAGGAATGGCGTTAGGAATAAAAACCCCTGCTTTCCTTTGTTCAGTGTGCTCTTGTGATTGTAACTGATGCAGGCAGCACCCTTCTGAAATTTGCCTTGCTGAGAAGTCTTTTGTTTGAGTGCTCATTTTCTTTGTGACTTTGAGCTCTTCTAACAAATTTGGGGGCTCATCTGGGATCCCATTCTCCTCTGGGGAAAGGTCTCCAAGCATCTCTCATTAGGAGACGTGTCCCACTGCCTCATTGTGGTGGCCTCAGGGGTAAGAGATTGAGACCCACCTGGCATGACGAATAAACCCGGGAAGAAAAGTCCTACAAGTAGATACCGCAGCAACCAAGTAACTCTGCACAGACCAAGGTTAGAAAAGCCGTGGGGGCAGTGAAGTATTTCCTTGGTGGTCGAGATCAAAGTAAGAAAAGCCAGGGGGCGGTGAAGTATATCTTGGTCAGAACATACCAAGGTAAGAAAAGCCGCAGGGGTGGTAAAGTATTCCTAGTGGTCAGGTTATCTTGGAGGTTGAAAGTGCATGAATGAGATTCAGGCACATTAAGTGTAGAGTGAGTAAGTCCAATCTGCGGTTCCGTGGTCACCTCATATGGCTTCTGATGGCGGCCCTCCTATAAAGGAGTCAAAGTCAAAGGCTTATACTGAACCTGCCAGTGCTAAGAGGGACCTAAAGTCCCTCTGGGGAAGTGGCCATAGAGGGTGAAGCGAAACAAGAAGAGTGCAAGGGACCTCCAGTAAGTGGGGTTAAGCCTCTAGGGAGAGGGAAGGCAAGAAACCTCTAATATGAAGGATTGAGCCTAACACCAAACCTCCAGGATGGGGACTATCCCAAGTAAGACAAGAAACAGAAAGTATAAGGCTAATAACATTCCCCTTAATAGTCCCTTAGGTCTCATGTTAAAATAATACTGGAAAGATAATGAGAGGACTAAACATAAGAGAAAGCAACAGATGATAAAATATTGTTGTTTCATTTGGACCAAAGAACCCATCCTTGAGCCCTCAGTTTTCTGGCCAAAGTTTAGGTCAAATGAGGATTCAAATTTGTCAACTTTTAATAAAGTATGTCAATGACAAGAGTCCCGTTTCCCAGGAGAAAATAGATTATGCCCTGTGTTGGCAGCAGGGACCTGTCCTCCTTTACCCCCTAAAGGTATAGGGGGCAAGCCAGAAACCAGCTCCTCTGAAAGGAGTAAGGTCTCTACCCCTGAACAGCCCACTAACATCTGGACCCACTAGACCACCTGTATCTGCCAAATCCCCCGCCCCAAGTGGGTGCACAGGAATCTCCTCACTCAGTTCCTCCCCCATGTAATCCTGAATCAATGTTCTCTGGCCTCCCTAACCACACGCCTGAGTCTATGTCTCCCCCCAGGAAGGCTCCAGCGTGAGATAAAACAGTGCAACAAAGATATTCAGAACTTCCCTTTCCCCTCCACCTCTAAGCAATCAACTCCAACTCTCTTTCCCTTAAGGGAAGTGCCCCTTGGAGAAGGAAGCATCGGCTTTGTTAATGGTCCCTTAACTAGCTCAGAAGTCCAAAGTTTAAAAGAGGAACTCAGATCATTATTAAATAACCCCTATGGGACTGCAGATCAAATTGATCAATTCTTAGGGCCACAGCTGTATACTTGGGCTGAGTGAATGTCCATCCTGGGCATCCTCTTTTCAGGGGAAGAAAGAAGCATGATCCATAGGGCCGCTATAATAGTCTGGGAATGTGAACATCCATCCAAAACATTCCTGCAGCAGACCAAATATTTCCAGCCCAAGACCCTCAATGGGATGGTAACAATACAGCTCACCCAAGAAAAGCCTGACCCTCTTCTGTGGACTTCTGATGAAATCCACTAGGTTGAGCAGCTAAAACACCTACCCATCGCTATTCCTGTCTTAGCGCTGCCATCCCTAGAAAAATCATTTCACCTTTTCATTAACGCAAACAAGAGGGTGACTTTCAGGGTGCTTACTCAAGAACATGGGGGTCACCAACAACCTGTGGCCTTCCTATCAAAAGTTTAAACCCAGTAACCTGTGGGTGGCCCAAATTTATTCAGTCTATTACAGCTACTGCCTTAACTGAAGAAAGCAGGAAGCTAACCTTTGGGGGAAACTTGATGGTGAGCACACCCCTTCAGGTTAGGACAATCTTAAATCAAAAGGTAGGAAGATGGCCCACCAACTCAAGAATTTTAAAGTGTGAAGCTCCCTTACTAAAGAGAGATGACTTAACACTAACCACTGACAGTTCACTCAACACACCAGGTTTCCTGACAGGGAACCCAAACCTAAAAGGGCCTAAGTGTAAGTGCTTAAATTTAGTTAATTATCGCACAGAGGTCAGGCCTGATTTAAGGGACCCCTTTCAAAACAAGACAACAGCTATTCATAGATGGCTCCTCCCAGGTAATTGAAGGAAAAAAACATAATGGGTATTCAGTGGTCGATGGGGAAGCTGTCGCAGAAGTCGAGTCAGAAAGACTGCCCAATAATCGGTCCGCTCAAACATGTGAATTGTTTGCAATAAATCAAGCCTTAGAACATTTACAAAATCAAGAAGGAACTATTTATACTAATTCCAAGTATGCCTTCAGGGTAGCCCATACCTTTAGAAAAATTTGGACTAAACGAAGTCTCATCAGTAGCAAGGGCCAAGACCTTGTCCACAGTTAATTAATCACCCAGGTACTGGATAACCTTCATTTGCCACCTCCCCCCCCCCCAAAAAAAAAAAAGTATTGTCCATGTCCCAGGACATCAAAAAAAATCTCTTTTAAAAGACGAGGGAATAACCTCGCAGACCAAAGAGCCAAACAAACTGCTTTTTCCTCTGAAACATGCATTTTCCACCAACTCATTGTCTTTCTCCCCCAACTGCCATTCCCATCTTCACTCCCGCTGAAAAGGAGAAATTAATAAAAATAGGAGCCAAAGAAAACTCAGAAGGTAAATGGGTGTTACCAGACCAAAGAGAAATGCTAACCAAATCTCTCATGAGGGAGGTTTTGTCTCAGCTACATCAAGAAACCCACTGGGGACCTCAGGCTATGTGTGATGCAGTTCTTAAAGTCTATGGATGTATAGGAATTTATACTCTAGCAAAACAAGTTACAGATAATTGTCTAATATGTAAGAAAACTAATAAACCCTAAGAAAACCACCCCTTGGAGGAAGAAACCCAAGATTAAGGCCACTCCGAAGTATCCAAATTGATTATACCAAAATACCCCCAACAGGCCGCCTAAAGTATCTACTGGTGATAGTAGATCACCTTACTCACTGGGTAAATGCAATTTCTTTTTCAAGTGCAACCACCAACAATGTAGTTAAGACACTCATAGAAAATGTTATACCCAAGTTTGGATTAATAGAAAACATTGATTCAGATAATGGAATCCATTTCACTGCACATGACAATATAAAGCTAGCCCAGATATTAGAAATAAAGTGGGAATACCATACCCCCTGGCACCCACCTTCATCAGAAAGAGTAGAAAGAATGAACCAAACCCTAAAAAGCCATCTAACCAAATTAGTTTTAAAAACTCGATTATCATGGACCAAGTGCCTTCCTATTGCCTTATTAAAGGTCCGAACTGTCCCTCAGAAAGAAGTTGGCTTATCTCCTTGTGAAATGCTGTATAGGCTGCCTTACTCACACTTCACTGTTGACATTCCTACGTTTGAAACTAAAAGTCAGTTTCTCAAGAGCTATGTACTTGGTCTCTCTTCCACTTTCTCTTCCCTCAAAGCTAAAGGCTTTTTAGTACAGATGCCACCCTTGGAGTTCCCAGCACATCAGCATCAGCCTGGGGATGATGTTCTCATCAGAAGCTGGAAAGAAGGAAAACTCAAACCAGCTTGGGAAGGACCCTATCTCGTGCTTCTAACCACCAAGACTGCAGTCCAAACAACAACAAAAAAATGCAGACCCATCATACCCCAGTCAAAAAAGCATCGCCATCTTCAAAGTCATGCGCTATTGTTCCGAGACCAATTCCTACCAAGCTAAAGATAAAAAAAAAAAAGCTTAACCCTCTTATAGTGCCTTTTTTTCTTTCCCCTCTCTACTGTCAGACAATTATCCTTTCCTCACCCAGTAACAAAACCAAAGTGGCCGTCGTAGAGGTAAAAGATCTAAAACAAACCTAATCATTGAAACAGGGTACCGAGATGCAAATGCCTGGCTGAAATGGATTAAATATTCTGTCTGCACTCTAAACAAAAATGATTGCTATGCTTGTGCGCACAGCAGGCCAAAGGCCCAGATTGTCCCCTTTCCACTCGAATGGTCCTCCAGTCTACCAGGCATGAACTGTATGGTAGTTCCCTTCCAACACCTCACATCCTGGGGTAATAAGTTATGCCAAGCTCCCTCTCTGCTATTCCCTCAAGTCCAGCACCCTGCGGGTCAGCCCCCAAGGGCCATCAAGCTTCCATTTCCCCATGCCAGTTTTACCTCATGTCTCTCACAACACGGGGAAAACTTGGCATTTCTTGGAGACCTAAAGGGATGCAGTGAGCTTAAGCCCTTCCAGGAGCTTACTAATCAGTCTCCCCTTATTCATCCCCAAGCAAATGTAGGATGGTATTGTGGTGGACTATTACTGGATACTCTGCCAAGTAACTGGAGCGGCACTTGCACTCTGATCCAATTGGATATCCCTTTCACTCTGGCATTTCATCAACCAGAAAAGATAAAACATCGTAAAACAAGAGATGTCCCTCGTGGGTCCTTTGACTCTCATGTTTATATAGACGCCGTTGGAGTCCCACGAGGGGTACGAAATGAATTTAAAGCCCGAAATCAGATAACTGCAGGGTCTGAGTCCATGTTATTCTGGTGGTCAACAATTAATAAAAATGTAGATTGGATAAATTATATCTACTATAACCAACAACGATTTGTCAGTTATACTAGGAATGCCATTAAAAGAATAGCTCAACAATTAGGGCCTACTAGCCAAATGGTCTGGGAAAATAGGATGGCGCTAGGTATGATATTAGCAAAAAAAAAAGAGGTGGAGTCTGTGTCATGATAGGAACCCAGTGTTGTACCTTCATCCCTATTAGTTGAAAGACTTATTACAACAGCCCTTACTGAAACTTTCCTGATTTCTTTTCCACCCTAGTTTAACAAACTTTTACTTCTAGACAGTGAGGAACAGCAAAGTCAGGTCATGTTAGGTAAGTTTGAAGAAGAAAGTGTGTAAATTCAAGAGGGGAAAATTGTTAGGAACAAACAGTTTCTCTTCAAAGGGTTTCACCCCCCTTTTCCTTTGTTCTATTACATAAGTAGTTTTTCCTGCCTTTAACAGGCCCAGGCATGCCTCCATCCACCAACCTTGTAGCTGACCCATGCCGCCTTACTCGAAGTTGTTAGGTTCAAACAATGAATTTCCTGGTTCTTTTTCCTTTTCTAAATGCTAAATCTAGTCAGTCGGAATCAGTTTAGATTGTGTGGTCCTACCCTAATTAACTGGGGGAGGACACAGAAACAGGAACGGCATTGGGAATAAAAACCCCTGCTTTCCTTTGTTTGGTGTGCTCTTGCGATCGTAACTAACGCAGGCAGCACCCTTCTGAAATTTGCCTTGCTGAGAAGTCTTTTGTTTGAGTGCTCATTTTCTTTGCAACTCTGAGCTCTTATTTCTAACACAAGGCATCCTCTTGCCTAATTCTTCAAGCAGCTGGGACTACAGGCATGTCCAGACTGCAGGATCTTGAACTCCTGGTCTCAAGCAATCCTGCTGTGACCTCCCAAAGTGCTGAGATTACAGGCATGAATCATCATGCCCAGCCTATTTCTACTTTTTTGATGCAGGTGTTTATTGCCATAAACCTGCTTAATACTGCTTTTGCTGTATTCCATAGCTTTGGTATGTTGTGTTTCCATTTTCATTTGTTTCAAGTTTTTAAGTTTCCTTCTGAATTTCTTCATTGTTCAGGAGCATGTTGTCTAATTTCCATACGTTTTTGAAGTTCTTGAGGTTCTTTTTATTGATATGTATTTTTATTCTTTTTGTGGTCAGAAAAGATATTTGATATGATTTCTATTTTTTTTTTTATTTGTTCAGACTCATGGCCTATGATAATGGTCCATTCTGGAGCATGTTTTATGTGCTGATAAAAAGAATGTGTATTCTCCAGCAGTTGGGTGGAATGTTCTGTAAATGTCAGTTAGGCCTATTAGGTCTAGTTTGTAGTTTAACTCCAGTGTTTCTTTGTTTATTTTCTGTCTGGGTTATCTGTCCATTTCTGAGAGTAGGGTATTAAAGTCTCCTACTATTATTGTATTGCAGTCTATCCCCTTGGATGTATTAATTTTTTTATATATACTTGGGAGCTCTGATGGGTGAATATTTATAATTGTTATATCCTCTTGCTGAATTGACTGACTCCTTTATCATCATATAGTGACCTTCTTTGTCTTTTTTTTACAGTCTTTGATTTGTAGTCCACTTTATCTGATAGAAGCATAGTTGCTCCTGAGCTTTTTTGGTTTCCAGTTGCATGAAATATCTTTTCCCTCCCTTTTAATGTATGTGTATCTTAATAGGTGAAGTGGGTTTCTTGTAGACAGCATGGAATTGGGTCTTGTTTCTTTCTTTGCCTTTTAATTGGAGAACTGAGTGCATTTACCTTCAGTAGTATTATTGATAAGTAAAGACTACTGCCATTTTGTTGCTTGTTTTCTGATTGTTTCGTAACTCTTCCTTTCTTGTGGTTAAGAGATTTTCTCTGGTGGTATGTTTTAATGTGTTGCTTTTTATTTTTAGTGAATTTGTTATAGGTTTTTGCATCGTGGTTACCATGAGGTTTACAAAAAAATAACAAATTATCTTAAAGAGTTGACAACTTATCTTAGATCACAAAAGAATAGAAACAAAGGAAAATTTGAAAGAACTTCCACAATTTAACTTCATCCCTCCCTCTAAGAATTCATTAGAGGCTTTTAATTGTCTCAGTTTATCTATTTTTATATTATCTGCCACTTAACAGGTTGTTGTAACTGTTACTGTTTTTGATAGATTTATCTTTTGGGCTTTATATAATACTAGAGTCGTGAGTGGATTGCATACCACAATTACAATAGTAAAGTATTTTGGGTTTTTTGTGTATACATAATTTTACCAGTGGGTTTTACACCTTCAAATGTTTTTTTAGTTTGTTTTATTTTTCATGGTAGTGTTTTTTTCTTCCAGATTGAGTAATTCCTTTTAGCATTTTTTTTGTAATATGAGTCTTGTGGTGGTGAATTCTCTTAGCTTTTGTTTGTGTGGGAGTCTTTATCTCCCCTTCATATGTGAAGGGTAATTTTGCTGGACAAGGATATTCCTGGATGGTAGTTTTGGTTTTTTTCTTTGAGCACATTAAAAATGTTCCTGTCCCTTCCTGGCCTGTATGGTTTCCGTTGAGAAGTCTGTTGTCATACAAGGTAGAGCTTCTTTATATGTTATTTGTTTCTTTTCTATTGCTGCTTTTAGGATCCTCTCTTTGTCTTTGACTTTTCAAATTTGATTATTATATGCCTTTGGGTAATCTTATTTGGGTCAAATGTGTTTTCTGACCTTCCTGTACTAGGATATTTACATTTTTCTCAAGTTGTGGAAAGTTTTCTATTATTTCTTTGAATAAGCTTTCTACCTCATGCTTTTGCTCAACTTTCTTTGAACACTAATAATTCTTACATTTTTTTTTTGAGGTAATTTTCTATATCTTATAGGCAATCTTTGTTGCTTTTCATTCTTTTTTCTCCTATGTGTGTTTTCATAGCCTGTCTCTGAGCCTAATGATTGTTTACTCTGCTTGATCCTCTCTTATGTCAAGAGCCTCTAATGAATCAGTTCAGCAAGTGTATTTCTCAGTTCCAAGATTTCTGTTTGATTTTTTTCTTTTCTTTTCTTTTGGTGTTATGACTTGGATAATTTTAAAAAATTACTTTAATCTCTTTTTAAAATTTCCTGATAAATTTCTGAATTGCATTTCTGTGTTATCTTGGAGATCACTGAGTTTTCTTAAAAATACTACTTTGAATATTGGTCAGAGAGCTCATAGATCACTATCTCATTAGTGTCAGTTATTGGTTCCTTGCTTTGTCCATTTGGGGAGATCATGGGTACCTGTTTTCTGTTGTTTGTTGTGGCTGTTTTATTCAGCCTTCTCTGTCTGGCTTGTTTTGGTTTTTACTGGATGTATTTGCTTAGAAGTTCTTTACTGTTAGGTTGCTGCCTCCTTTTTAGCTCTCTCTAGTTACCTTAAGCCCAGGTTCACCTAGGTTCTAGTAAAGAACCAGAGCACTGTTCTTCCCGAATGAGGGAGATTCCAAAGGGGATGTCCCAGTAGTGTGGGAATGCTGGCTAGGAGTTCCTGCCCAGGGGACCTGTACAATAAACCTTCTACAGATGGTGTTGATGAACATCTAATGAACATCTACTCTGATTCAGTGTCTTGCTTGGCTGAGTTACAGTAGAATTTCCAGAGCTGGAGATGGTAGTCTTGCCTCCCTTTTTTGTTTCTGCCTATCCGCAGGGATATTTTTCCCTTCTGGCATTTGAGATGCATCCTGTGGGCTAAGATAAGGGACAGTCTCCTGCCAGAGAACATTAGATGATGGGGAAGCATGAGTTATATCTCAGTCTCACTTTTTCCAGTGTAGAAACAGTGAGTTGTGGGAAAATTTTTTGCCCATTAGGTGCTGGCCAGAATGAGGGGAGGGACATCATGGATGTGGAAGTCCAATTCTTTCACCATCTGCTAGAATTCTTTTTTTTTTTTTTAACTTTTCTGTGGCCCCTGAACTGTCGCATCTTCATATGAGTTCTGGGATATTCCTGGTAATAACATCGGCTCTGTATATTTGTTTTTGGTTTTCTGTGAGAGGAGTGAAGCCAGCTTGCTTCTGTGCTGACATTTTGGAACTGGAAATCCTCTTGATTAATTTTTGTATGTTGATTTATTCTATATTCCAGGAATAAATCCCAATCCCACTGGGTCATGGTGTGTAATCCTTTTAATATGCTGTCAATCTGATTTGCTAGTATTTTATTGAGGATTTTTGTATCACTGTTCATGAAGGATATTGGTCTGTAGTTTTCTTTTCTAGTACTATCTTTGGCCTTGGTATTTGGTAGCGCTGGCTTAATGAAATGAGTTTAGGAGTGAGTAGTCCCTCCTCCTTAATTTTTTGGAAAAGTTTGAGAAGGATTGGCATTAATTTTTCTTTAAATGGTTGGCAGAATTCACCAGTGAAGCCTTCAGGTCCAGGACTTTTCTTTGTTGAAAGATTTTTGATTACTTATTCAGTGTCTCTGCTAATTATAGATCTATTTAGATTTTCTCTTTCTTCATGGTTTAGTCTTGATAGGTTTTGTGTTTCTAGGAGTTTTCCATTTCATTTAGGTTATCTAGTTTGTTGGCATTTACTTGCTCTATATAGGACTCTGTTATCCTATTTATTTCTCTAGAATTGATTGAAATGTTCTCACTTTCATTTCTGATTTTAGTAATTTGAGTCTTCTTTCTCTCTTAATTCCATATAGTTAAAGGTTTGTGTTTTTGTTTATTTAAAGAAACAACTTTTGGTTTCATTAAGTTTTTTCTTCTGTTTCTCTGTTCTCTATTTTGTGTATCTCTGCCCTCATCTTTATTATTTTTTTCCTCCTGCTAACCTTGTGTTTCGTTTGTTCTTGTTTTACTAGTTCCTTAAGTTTTAGACTAGGTTCTTGATTTGAGATCTTTCTTGTTTTGTAATGTAAGCATTTAGAGCTATACATTTACTCCTTAGCACTGCTTTCACTTTATACCATAAATTTTGTTATGTTGTGTTTTTGTGTTCATTCATATGTAAATATCTTCTAATTTCCTTTTTGATTTCTTCTTTGATTCATTGCTTGTGTAAGAGTGTGTTTAATTTCCACAAATTGGTGAATTTTCCAGTTTTCCTTCTATTACTGATTTCTGACTTCATCCAGTTGTAGCTGGAGATGATAGTTCATGTGCTATATCTATCTTTTCAAATGGATTGACATTCTGTATGGTGTCTCACAGATCCCTTAGGCTGTATTCACTTTTCACTTAAATCTTTTTCCTCTGTTGTTCACATTGAGTCTTTAGTGTTATTGTATTTTCAGTTCTGTCATTTCCATATAGTTCTTTGTGTCTTGTATTTCTTTGCTTAGACTTTCTATTTCTTTGCTGTGAGTTTTTATTATTTCATTTGTTTCATGTATATTTGTAATTGTTCATTAATTTTTTATATGACGCCTACTTTAAACTCTGTTAGGTAAGTCTAACATCTGTGGTGTCTTGATGTTGGCATCTCCTGATTGTCTTTTTATATTCAGTTTGAGATATTCCTGGTTCTCAGTGATTTTCAAGGGAAACTTCGACATTTTTTGTATTATGAGACGCTAGATCTTATTTAAACCCTGTGTTTTGGCTCATTTTCTCTGACGCTGCTCTGACAGTGAAAGGTGGGGCACTGCTTCCTTACTGCTTAGTGGAGGTAAAAGTCAGGTTTCTCACACTGCTTCCTTCCACACCTAAGAGAGAATACTCCTCACTCCTGTTGGGATAGGGTGTTAGTTATAGTTCCCCATGTGGTCTTCACTAACACTGCATGGGGTAGAAGCTTTTGTTACCAGTGGATTTGGATGCAAGTCTAGGCTTCCCACGTGTCTGCTTTTGGAATCAAGACAGTACTAAAACTTCATAAAATCAGTTGAGAACTGCTGGGTGCCAGTGGGAGTTCCAGCTCCCCGTTAGTTCTCCATTAATACTGGCTAGAAGTTGGAATGCCTCATTACTGCTCCTCATGTGACAGTATGTAGAAGTAGGGTTGTGCACCTTGTTACTGCTGGATAGTGGGGAAAATCCCGTCTCCTGACTATACCTCTTCTAACATTCCCTCTACCCCCGGCCAGTGGAGAGGGCTGTCTCTTTATTGCTGGATGGGAACAAATGTCCCAGCTCCTTAATTGGCCTTCTCTGACCCAGCCCCAGTTGGGGAAGATGGTTGGGACACCTTGTTACAGCCTCATGAGAGTGGAATTCTAGGCTACCTGCTGGTCTTTGCTGGTGTGTATATGGTTGGTGACAGAGTTTTTTTCTGTGGTGTTTAGCTGGAATAGAGCAGTTGTCATCTAAAAGTTGTATCTTGCTAGGCTGCCCCTTTCTGTTCCTGTGGCAACAAAAGCCTAAAAGAGCTTCTATTGGTGTCTCTCTTTTTTGGCACAAGGTAGGTCTGTACCATTGGCGTTTCTGGGTTGCTCATTTCTTCAGCTGAAATCCTGGGATAGTCTGAGGTAAAAAAGAAAACTCAGGGACTGACTGCCGTGTCTTCCTTAGGGTTCTACATTCCTAGCTAGTCTGCCACCCTCTTTTCACCTTTCAGTCTTATTTTTGTTTTATATATAATGGCCAAAGATTTTAGTTGTATGTAGCATGTGGCATAGGAAAGTGTCTACGCTCTCTTTCAATTGGAAGCCCTCATTGTCTTTAAAAGATATGTTTATCTTTTTTTTCTAGTTGTTATGGTACAAGCCATTGTCTGTGTGACCTTCCACATTCTGATCTGAGCAGGAGCTCCCAGACGCTAGTTATTGTGGGTTGTTTTTGTTTTTTGCACTCTTAAATTTTAGTCAATTAAATGACTGCCTGTTTGTTCTCCAGTATGTAAATTAAATAACCTTTCCTAATTCATAGTTTGGTAGTAACAGAATTCATTATGGACAGCAAATGATGTTTGAATAAAATAATATATTTATTTTGAAAGATGAATATTCTTGAATAAAACAGCAAATGTTAACAGCTAAAGTATACTTAGCATTTGTTGATCTGCTTCCTGGTAAGATTTCTTCCCCCATCTGATTATAGATTGTCTACCACCTCCGTTACTTGGTAAAACTGTGAAAATCGACTTTTCTTGACTTTGGTTCTGCAGCTGTAGCTTTCCCCTGTCCCCCTTTAGGGACAACCCACCTTTGAAACTAGGTCTAGTGCTAGTGGAGAGAGGTAATGTGATTGGGCGTTGAGTCCCATAAACACTGAGCTGAGTAGTTTGGACTTTATCCCATAGGCAATGTAGGGCCAGCCAAATGATCATTTTGAACAGTAGTTCAAATAAAGTTGTTAATATTCACACAGTGTTTGATGGTCTTTATTTTATCTTGTAGGTCACCTGATGTATTTTTTTTCAGCGTGAAGAACTTCTTTAACATTTCTTGAAATGCATTTCTTCTGGTGATGAATTCTCTCAGCTGTTGTTTACTTGAAAGAAGTATTTTTATTTTGTCTTTTTTTTAATTTTTGAGACAGGATCTCACTCTGTTGCCCAGGATGGAGTGCAGTGGTGCCATCTCAGCTCACTGGAACCTTTTCCTCCCAGGCTTAAGTGATCCTCCTGCTTCAGCCTCCCAAGTAGCTGGAACTACAGGCATGCCCCACCACACCCAGCTGATTTTTTACTTTTTGTAGAGACGGGATTTCGCCATGTTGCTCATGCCACTCTTGAACTCCTGGTCTCAAGCAGTCTGCCTACCTTGGGCTCCCAGAGTACTGGGATTACAGGCATGAGCCACCATGACTAGCCTGCCTTTATTTTTGAATGATAGTTTTGATGAAAAAAATTCTGGGTTGACAGGTTTTTTTTCCCAGCACGTTTAAAACCTCATTCCATTTGGTATGTTTTTATTGGTTCCATTTCTGTCATGATATTCATGTTTTCCTTTAAGTCCTTGAGCATACTTAAGTTTTATGAGTGTTTTTGAGTTTTTATCTGCTAATTCTGTCATTTTGCATTTCTAAGTCTATTATGAACTGGCTTTCCTCCTCTGATGGCTCACAGTTTTCTGCTTCTTTGCATATCTGGTTATTTTTCATTGGATCCCAGACATTGTGAATGTAATTGAGTGTTCCTAAGTACTGTTTTCTCTGGAAAATACTGTTGTTTGTTTTGGAAGGCAATTAAGTCATTTGCAGATAAGGTTGATCAGTTCAAGACTTTTTAAAGCTTTTTAAAAGTTGGATCTCAAGTAGCCTTTTCTTTAAGGCCAGCTTAGCCTTAATGCTAAGGCTTGACTGTCTAGGAGTGTCCACTGATTACTACAAGTGTTTATTGAGGCCCCTCTGCTCTGTATAAGTTTGAACACTCCTCAGCTTACTGTGAGCTCTGAAGCTTGTTTATAAGTCCCTTACAGTTTTATTTGCCTGGCCTTGTTGAATTTTATGCTGTTCACGTGTTGATTAGTATTCAGACTGAAGTCTCAAGGGTACTCACTATTTGATTTCTGGAGCTCTTTTTCTGCTTAGCCTTCTTCTTTCCAGTATTCTGCCTTGCACATTCCAGTGCTTCCGTCTCCTTGAACACCAGTCTTGATTTTTGTCAACCCAGTAAGATGGCTGTATTGGCTTGGGTTTCTCCATCATGTGTCAAGTTCCAAAAAATGGCCTCCAGGCAGGAAGCCAGGAAGATCGTAGAGCTCACTTTGTTTTCCTTCTCTCAGGTATTGTAGTCCTGTACTGCTTGTTGTCCAGTGCTGAAAACTGTTGTGGCATGTATTTTTTTTCTAGTTTTCTAGTTGTTTTAAGGCAGAAGGTCAAGTTCTGTACCAGTTAACTTCTTCATGGCCTGACGTAGAAGTTTTTTCATATTTTGTTTATTTAGATCCTGTTTAATTTCACAATAGATTTAAGCTGGTTACTCTGGAATAGAAACTACTACTTCAGTAGTTTCCTTAAAAAACATAACTTTTGACGTGACTTTTTGGGATGAGGGAGATACAATGTATGTTCATTGTAGAGTTTAGAAATACACAAAAATGAACCTAAGTCTCATGTAAACTCAGACTCCATATCTTACCTCTATTAACATTTTTCTGTGTTCTAGTCATTTTTCTGTGATTATATATATAACCCCTTTTATACATAATTACGGGGCATAAACAGACATACAGCCCTCTTTCTTTGTTCCCCCAGTTTGTATTGTGTTTTTGTTTGTTTGTTTTGCTAAAAGGCAAAATTTTAGTCCAAGGTTAGTTTTTCATGTTATTACATGTTCTTTAAAACTATGCTTGTCTGTCCATATTATAATGGCAGTTTAAGATTTCACAACAGGAATATATCATCATTTATTTAGAGAATGTGGGATTGATTAGACATTTTTATTCTTTTCAAAAGTAAGATCTCCAGTCAGTTAAAACTCTACTCCTAAATTCATCCATTATACTTTTTGGAAATGTTTTGTCCTTGTTTTATCCATTTCCTCCTCCCTGAGAAAAGCATTCTGCATTGAAATTTTACACTCAATTTGGTTTGAGAACTGTGCTTTGCTTTTCTTAATTGGATCATCTGGGGTTGTAAGCCTGTCTGTGTATTAGAACTGGACAGGGAGCTCGTTAAAAATAAAGATCGTTAGGCTTAAATTAGACTAAATACCTGGGAATCTTCTTTGGATATCTCACCATTTGGGAACCACTGTTCAAAACCTTATCTCTGGTATTCTAGGTTTCCTTAAAGACTGTGTGTTGATTGGCTTAGTAGGACATAAGATGAGACTCATTGGCGCTCAGCCACAGCCTCTTTGTGTTCATCTATTTCGTTTTTTGGGGACTTCCACCTAAGATGCTGTTTCAAAGAAGTTTTATGCTAGAAGCAAATGTGTTTACCATGGATATTGTTTATCAGAGCTCCGCTTCCAGTGTATAATGGATGGATTTCTTTAGTTTCCTTGAACATGGAGAAGCCTGAAGCAAACTGTATGAGATAGGAGTCATGGCTTGTAGAAGCTTACATAAAACCTTTAAGGCTGGGCACGGTGGCTTACGCCTGTAATCCCAGCACTTTGGGAAGCTGAGGTGGGCAGATCACTTGAGGTCAGGAGTTCAAGACCAGCCTGGCCAATATGGTGAAACCCCGTCTCTACTAAAAATACAAAAATTAGCCAGGCATGGTGGCTCACACCTGTAATCCCAGCACTTTGGGAGGCCAAGGTGGGCAGATCACCCAAGGTCAGGGGTTTGAGTCCAACCTGGCCAACATGGTGAAACCCCGTCTCTACCAAAAATACAAAAAAGCCGGGCATCGTGGTGCGCACCTGTAATCCCAGCTACTTGGGAGACTGAGGCAGGAGAATTGCTTGAACCTGCGACGTGGAGGTTGCAGTGAGCTGAGATCCCACCACTGCACACCAGCCTGGGCGATGGAGCTAGACTCTGTCTCAAAAAAAGAATTTAAGTTTTTAAAAAACCTTCCAATAGAAGTAGTTGAAAAATGATAGTTGCTACTTTTACTTGGCAGTTCTTCTAATCCATGAATATGGACCATCTATTTATTTAAATCATCTTTAATTTCTATTAATAATGCGTTTATAACTTTCAGTGTATGAGTATTGCACTTTTATTACATTTATTACTAAATTTTTTATGCTTTTAAATGTTTTTGTGCATGGAATTATTTTCTTAATTTTGTTTTCAGATTATTCATTATATGTAATCATAATTTTTTTATTTTACTCTTGTATCCTGCAGTTTTAAGTTTTCTGACGATTCCTTCCTTAGGATTTTCTACATATTTTGTAATTACTTCTTCCTTTCCAGTCAGTTATGCTTTTTATTTTTCTTGCCTGATTACACTGGTTAGAATGTCCAGTACAGTTTTGAATAGGAATAATGAGAGTGTAAATCCTTCTTTGTTTCTGGTCTTAAGGAGAAAGCATCGTCTTTCACCATTAATTATGGTGTTAAATGTAGGTTTTTTGTAGGTGCCCCTTATCATGAATAGTTGTTGGATTTTGTCACGTGCTTTTTCTGTGGAGATACTTAGTAGTTCTCAAATTTGGCACAAGGAAGCTTTTCATAGTTTTTTTTTTTTTTCTGCCAGATAGATGGTAATTTTAGGATCAACTGTGCGTTGCATATCATGTAGCCTTAAATGAGAACCACGGCAGATAATTTAATACCATTTGTTGAACAAATATTCATGAAGTGCCTGCAGGATGCATTTCTAACAAGTTCATTTGCTTCTGATGAATGTTCAAGATTTGGATCTAGTAGGTTAGAGGTCAGAGTTTCAGACCCATGATAACAAAGTTTTGTTTCCTCCATGAATTTATTTTTTAAATGGTTTTAAATATTTAAGCATAGAGCTATAAACCTAATACTGAGCCCAGTTCCAGCTTTTTCTAAAATAATAGTTTTCTTTTTGTTACCATGAGCAGTATCATTAGCATGGCTCTTCTTGCACCTTTTTTTTTTTTTTTTTTTAAGAGACAAGGTCTCTGTCATCCATGCTGGAGTACAGTGGCGTGATCATAGCTCACTGCAGCCAGAACTCCTGTGCTCAGTTGTCTTCCCCCCTCAGCCTCCCAAAGTGCTGGGATTACAGGAGTGAGCCACCATGCCTGGTCTTCTTTCACATTTTTATCACCCATTACTATGACAGAACAGTGCCACTCAGAGTAGAGTGGCAATCCAAATAGCTGTTTTTTGTGCTCAAATTTAGGTGATTGAGATTATACCAGGTTTCCTTTTAGAACAGATTTATAAATAGTAATACACAAAGCAAATTATTTGCATGAATTTGTTGGTGTTCCTCTGATTCTTATGCTCTCCATTGTGACCATGTACATTGCGGTTTCATGGTATGATTTGTATCTTACAGGTTTGCCCCATTATTGAAATTGTATGTAGTCACAGTTTAATTTGTTCATTTCTTCTAATTGGCTGTCTTCAACTGTGAAAGCAGCTGAAATTCTGTGGTTAATTGAAATCAGTCAAGGTAGTGCAGTTTGATCAAGAGTGAATGTTACTGCATTTGATTTGACATTAATTTTAATTTTCATTCAACATTTTATTTGGCAGAGTAGCATTTTAGTGGTTTTTGTTTTTTGGTTTTTGTTGTTTTGTTTTTTGTTGTTTTTTTTTTTTTAACAGGGTCTGGTTCTCTTCCCCAGGCTGGAATACAGTGGTGCAATCTTGACTCACTGCAACCTTCACCTCCCAGACTCAAGCCAACTCCCACCTCAGCCCCCCGAGTAGCTGGGACTACAGGCGCCTGCCACCATGCCTGGCTAATTTTTGTATTTTTTGTAGAGACAGGGTTTCGCTCTGTTGCCCAAGCTGGTCTTGAATTCCTGAGCTTAAGCGACCCGCCCGCTCGGCCTCCCAAAGTGTTGGGATTATAGGTGTAAGACCACACCTGGCTGTATGTTAGTATTCTTACAACAAAATGTAATCAGTTGTATGGTATTTTTGCTAAATCAACTTTGTAAGCCTACTTATAACAGAAATGTCCACATTATTGTGGGCTATTCTTTGCCAGACAAATTGATGGCAAATTCATAGGTATCTAATGTCACTGCTTAATTCCTGCCGTTTCAAAAAGACAGCAAATAAGCAAACCACAGCATTAATTCTTCACGTAATTTAAGAAAAATAGTGTTTCTCTAACTCCATTAATCATTTAAATCCCATATGGTTCTCTTACAGCAGTGTGATCTAGCTGCATTTCTTCACTGTTAAGAACTGTTAGGCGCTTCTGTTGGAGATAGTTTCTAATGTTGAAATTATCAGTGAATGTTCATTAATTCTTCATGTTGAAGCTGTCACCATGGAAACTTAGGTGTTATAGCAACTAGTTATATGCTATAACTTACTTAGCATTAAGATGATTAAATAACATACTATATGTAAAGCAGTTGGAAGAATCATGGAAAGCAATGTCATTTCTTAGCAGATACTACTATCATTTTATTCTTGTTTTTTGGCAAGTGTGAAAATTAAATTCAAATATTCTTTAAGATGTATACTTCTGGTCTTGAGATGTAACATCACTTTGTGATCTTACCTAAGTCCTCTGCTCTGTAGGAATTACAATTGTTTACATAAAGATGCTATTACTATCTTTGGTATGAAACTCAAATATTTATCAATAGATTTACCATGATGTTTTGAAAATCAGTGGGATTGGGGACAGTGACATGTCAAAATCATCTAGGAATTAAAAAAGAAAAGCACAACACTGCTTATTTAAACACTGCTGGTCTACAAGTTTAGCTTCTTTTGGACTTAAAAAATTTGTTAGCTTACCCTTGTTTTATGATAGTAACAATAACTCAGCATTTGTTTGATAATGAGTTAATATATAATGAAAAAATTTCATGACTAAATAGTTGGATGTTTTTACTATATTGTTTGATCTCCAGTTAATGTGACAGGTGAAGGAGTTTGGTTGGGTGTTGCTCTTGTATTTTAACCCTTTTATAAGATTTCAGTTGACAGTGAAATTTTAAACATGGAACTGTAATATGTAATATAGGTAGTATTTATTACCATATATTTACTTAATAAATTCATATTTACATTTGTTTATTATATAAATCTAAACAGGCAGTTTTGAGTAGTGCAAACATTTTGATAACATTAATCTCAGCATCTTTTTTTCCCTCTATTTTGTTATACAGTACTGAGAAAAATCCAATTTAAACAGATTAGTAATTGAAAACTGTTTTAAAGCTTGCCTGATAGCCTTAAATTGTCATTCTAGCAGGTAGAAAGAATAGTAAGGACTTTGGACTTGACTCGCCAAATATCTAACCTTGGCTTGCATTTATTAATTGTTGAAAATGAGCTTTGTAGTCAGACATGATTCCCATTTCTGCTAGCTGTGACACCATGGATAAATTATGTGACTCCTCCAAGCCTTGAGTTTCTCTCATTTATCAAATGGACGTTATAATACTTTTTACCTCGTAAGAGGTAGATCATATTTGGATTAAGTAAGGTAATTACATGTGTTAAAGTATATCCAAATAATCATATTTGGATTAAGTAAGGCGATTACGCTTGTTAAGGTATGATTTTCAAAAAAGCAAAGTTCTTAGGCAAATGTAGAATGAACATGTGTCACAGATTGTATTCCACTCACTTGTTAATGAGAGAAATAGTAAGATGTTAAACTTGACCAGAGTGCATTTGTTATCTAAGTATTTATAGGCAATGTTAATAGAAGATTGCTGAGTTAGATAAGAAACTGATTAATATCCAACGAGGCCAGGAATTTAATCTTTGTGGTTATCTGGGCAAAAATTATTTGCTTCTCTATTGAATAAAAAGCTACAGGTTAACATATATAACTTCACTGTCTAGGACTTTTTTTTTTTTTTTTTTTTTAAGAGACAGGCTGTCACTCTGTCACCCAGGCTGGAGTGCAGTGGCTCAATCATAGCTCAAGCAGTGGCTCAAGGGCTCAAGTGATCTTTCCACCTCAGCCTCCCAAGTATTTATTTATATTTTTTTTAGAGATGGACTCTTGCTGTGTTGACTAGGCTGGTCTCGAACTTCTGGCCTCAAGTAATCCTCCCACTTTGACCTCCTAAAGTGCTGGGATGGGACTTCTAGTAAATAGTGTGTTAAAGTGTGCATTCCCCTAAATTAGAATTTCTCAATTTAGGCATCCTTGATTTTTGGGCTAGATCATTCTTTGTTGTGGAAAGCTGTCCAGTGTGTTGTTATAAAATGTTTAGTAGCATCCCTGGCTTCTACCCACTAGATGCCCGTAGACTCTTTTCCTCGATTGGGCAGCAGACATTGCCAGGTGTCCCTGGGGGCGCAAAGTTGTTCCATGTTGAAAACCATTGCCCTGGATAATCTTGAACAACCTTTGTCTCTATACAGCATTGAACGTACTACCAATTTTTTTGCCTCTTTTTCCAAGCTTTTGATAATTTTTCTGACACATGAAAGCACTTTGCAGAATGCCTGACTAGTAGTAATTATTAAATGACAATTGCTACTGTTAATAATTATTTATTATTATTACTTAAATATTGTTTCTTAGGTAGTTTGATAGGTACTATTTGGCTGAATGTATCTGGGATATTGATTTGTTAGATAACATCATTAAAAAGCAGAACAGCCTAAGACACTTTAGTGCAAATCTATCAGATCCACTCAGAGTTTCAAAATAGTCAAAATTAGTCATTTTTCCTGGTAGGTCCCAAAATCAAATGCATGTTTTTTATACTGTCTTCTGCAGTTTTAGGTATGGTAAATTTTGACCCAAAATGTATACGTTGAACTCATTCATTCAGTTTACTAAAAAAACAGACAAGAAACACTGGTTAATTCCTAGTAATCATTAAAATGATCATAGCACAATATTATCATAGTTGAATATATTACATGTTTATTGTGTAACCAACTGAATAAGGCAGACTGTATTAAGAGCACAGGCTAAGTGGACATGCTTGAACTTTGCCTGACATTTTGTTCTATTAGACATGTGCCAAATAATGTGCTTGCTTATATAGTTTTAGGGGAGCAGACATGTCTGCACAGAACTGAATTTTATTAAGACTCAGCGTGTACAACCTACATGATCAATGAGACAAATCCTCCATGTGCACAAAAATTGGAGAAGTTGTATTTTGAGATTGACACAAAATGAGTTTACTTGGTAGTATGGATAAATAAATTGTTATAGATAAACACCAGTATTAAAACTTGTTACACATTTGTGCTTCCAGGTTTTTAAAATTAAAATTTGTAAATTTGAAAATGAAAGTTTTAAAATGAAAGAACATTGGTGACACCTCTGAGGCACTGCAGTGAAAAAGGCTGAGAACCACAGCTTAACAACTATGGCTCTGACTTAGTAAATGTATTTTTAAATATAAAGGCTTCTAAGGAGCACAGTTTACTTTTTCTTGCCCTAGTTACAGTTGACATTTGACTTTTCATTTAAGTTCCACAAGTCATGTGATTTGCAGTTATTTACCTGTCAGGGTAATTAGATTGGAGAACCAGCTATTTCCTTTACTGTTTTAGAAATGTAACCTAGTTTTTTCTCTCTCTCACCCCTTATACAATTACATAAGTAGGAATGGAACAGAATAGAGAATTGTGTAGGAAATTGGAATTAAAAGTGTTCTTGAGCAGGTTTGGAATTAGAGTTATGGTTGGTGGTAAGGGAATTTTTGTCTTTTGGCACGCTGTTTCTGGTGTATAGCAAAATATAGTATACTTTTCCACAAACAGCTTTGCTTACTAAGCATACAGAGACCAGGCTGTTGAGTACAAATATATGAATTGATAATTTTAGTTTTGTAAAATTGTTCTTGTTTTTGTTTTTTGTTTTTTTGGTTTTTTTTTGAGATGGAGTCTCACTCTGTCGCCCAGGCTGGAGTGCAGTGGCGCAATCTCGGTTCACTGCAACTTCCATCTCCCAGTTTCAAGCTATTCTCCTGCCCCAGTCCCCCAAGTAGCTGGGACTACAGGTGCGTACCACCACGCCTGGCTAATTTTTTTGTGTTTTTACTAGAGACAGGGTTTCACCATGTTGGCCAGGCTGGTCTCGAACTCCTGACCCTCAGATGATCCACCCACCTCGGCCACCTGAAGTGCTGGGATTACAGGCAGTTTTGTAAAAGTTGACAGTCTTCATTAGCAATTATATTTCTTAACTGCAATATAGATGTAGTACTTAGAACAACCCAAATAATAGTGGAAGAAAGAAAAGATAATTACATAGATGAAGCAGTAAATATTCCTTTGTGTGTTATTTAGTATTTTACTGGCATTTGTTAATTCAGCTTTTGAGTTTCAATAAATACTGTCCATTTAAATTATAGCGAAGGTACTGCATAAGATGTAACATCTGTGTGCAAGATTTTAAATATAAAATACTGTAAGAATGACATTTTCACAGTATTTTATTTGTTGCTTTGAATGTAATTAGTTAATGATAGCTTTTCTGCCAAAGGGTTGATTAAAAAGCCAAAGCACAGAAAATAATATTTGAAAGAGTGGATAAATCAGTGATATGTCGGTGAGTTAAACTGCTTGACTTTCTGCTTTTAAACTTTCCATATGGTATAGATATACATCAAAATTGGTTCAGTAATGTTTTTCCAGATTTTAAGTGATTTTGATGTATTAGAAAATACTGAACTTTTTTTACTGTCCAAGTTTAATTTGTAATTATTCTACTTAACTTTGCCAGATGATTGATTTTTGTTGTTGTTGCTTGAATTGTTTATAGAGAGGAATCAAACTACAAAATGTGATAATTGAGGTACTCTTTTTACCATTAAAACTATATTTTAAATCAGACTACAGTGTTTAGTGGTGTAGTAAGAAAGCATCACATATGACAAGCTCTGGGCTCATCTCTTATTGAACCGTGTAATGAATCCCTTGCTGCAACATCTTTGCCCCTCCCCCAAAGCAGCCAGCATATATTTGAGCATAGTGGCTCTGCTCGAGTTGTATCTTATTCTCATGGAGGAGATAGCAGAGCTTGTACTGCAGCAAGTGGAGCTCTGTGGTGAATCCGATGCTGGATTACATTTTAAGGATATTAGCAAGGCCCTGACAAAGTGGTGCTAAATGAGCACTTTCATTCTGGTAATTTGACTATAATTTTAGTGAAGCAGTTTTATTATGCAGGAAAAAGAAACAGCATTTTAATTCCAATCATAGTATACCGACCTGATCTCTGCTGTGGGGGTGGAAACAATGAAGAATGCAACATTTTAATACAATTTTTTTTAAAAAGAATGCTTTGGATCTAGATTAAATGTTCAAGACAGTCAGCAAACAACATGCACAAAGGCATTTTTCTGGAATTTCAGTCTTGGATCGATTTAAATGCTCAGGGTCTGAAAAAATGTCTCCTAGCATCAAAAACTTGGATTGCTTTTCTCCGATGTTATGCCACTGTAAAGTAGCATGCTCCAACAGCACAATATCCTTAATGTTTGGATGTAAGGTGGGTTTGAATAATACTTCCTTAAAAAGCTTGGTTTTAAAATCCAATAGTATTTCAGCAAAGAAATGTAATTTAGGTTAGATGGTTTGATTGACTTTAATTCATGTAATAGATTCCTGTCCTTTGTGTGTCTGACATGAGTAAAGAATTGGTCTGTGCACAGTTAAGATATAGTAGAAAAGGATCTGATTTTTATGAAAGCTGCATGTAAAATGTCATTTTCCATTAATGAGGATTAATTATTGACTTGGTTTTTATGTGTTGCTACTGTGGAGAATTAAGTGTACAGGAAACACCATTGATACGCAGGACTGGAGATGGTTTCTGACATCACTTTGATGGAAGAAACTGCTTGTGGCAGTTTTAATATTTAAACTAATGCCATAGACTTTGATTTTGATACTAAATTGTGTTGCTATTTAGATTGTATAGAGGAAAGAAAGCTTTTGAACAAAATAAACACCAAAAGAACCATGACTTTACTACTCATTTCCTATAAATGAAACTGGTTAATTTAGTAATGTGTTCTATATAAATAAAATGAATGTAGTTTGCCTTAAAGATGGTTATTCTTATATAAAATATTAGATGGAACAAAGAGCGGGTGCATTTTTACCTGATTTCTGCAATCAAAAACAACATATGCTGAGGCAGGTAGATCATGAGGTCAGGAGATCGAGACCGTCCTGGTTAACACGGTGAAACCCCGTCTCTACTAAAAAGTACAAAAAAATTAGCTGGGTGCGGTGGCGGGTGCCTGTAGTCCCAGCTACTTGGGGGGCTGAGGCAGGAGAATGGCGTGAACCCAGGAGGCGGAGCTTGCAGTGAGCCAAGATCGCGCCACTGCACTCCGGCCTGGGCCACAGAGCGAGACTCCATCTCAACAACAGCAACAATAAAAACAACATGTGGTTTAAAGCTATTTGTAGGAAGAGAGCCCTCTAACGTAGTATTTGGGGGAATAATTACTTATTTTGAGGTATTGTTTTGAATCGAACTTTTTTTTCTTTTTAGTTTTTGTATGACTGAAACTTTTCAATTGCTGATGTGAAGAGGTCTCAAATTGCTAGCTGATTAAATTAGGCTGAAAGGTTGTTAAAGAATATATTGCTTTTCTGGTCACCCAAGCATTTTTCCCTCTTTACATTAAGTTCTTTGTTTTGTCAGAGAATTCTTATTTTCCTACTGAGATTTCAGAAATTTTCTGAAATAGGAAATGGAAATGATTGCACAAGAAAAAGTATGCTGCTGATAGAAACAGATTTTTAACAAATTTAACATTCGTATTGGTTGTTAAACTATGAGCCAGTAAAAAATTCATATGCATTGTTTAAATAGCTAAGGCTACATTTTTTTCCCCTAGGTGTTAAGCCTGTTTTTTCATGTGGTATGTACAACAGAGTGTTTTAGGAAAAGGATTTTAAATTTTTTAAGGAATATTTTTATAAAGCTAATCACTGTAAAAAATGTTCCTCCTTATATGTAGGTAAATTAAACATCTTATGTATATAAGATGTTTCAAAATACTATTATTATAAAAGGTTTTAAGAAGTAACATGGCATTGCTCATGACTAGTCTGATAGTCTTGGTGGACTTTAAAGTCCTCCCCTATCCTCCACTCCTTTAAACCACTTTGGATGCTGTTAAATTCATTGCACAGCACCACTTGAGGTTCTTGGTTGCCCTCTGGTGGGAAAATGAAGAAAATATTGTATTGAAAATGTCACATAACTTGGTAATTAAAGATAGTTAAAAGGGCATCTAAGTTATATGTTTACAATTTAGGAAATCATTAGATACTTTAATTTAGGAAATAAAAAGAAGTGGGTTATTTTGGGGCTTAACCATTTGTGGATAGAGTTTTTAAAAATTGTTTTCCAAAATGTTTGAATTTTATGGCAGGTAGTACTGACAAGAGACGTGTAGAAATATAGTTTCTAAGACTACAGCATCCTAGTCACATTTTTCATTAGTGTATTTTGATAGATGCAAAATTTATTAAGGCTTTGTGGTGAAACTGACAAGTAAATTAATTAAAAATTTTAATATGTGATTAAAGAAGAATACACATTGGGAATTATACCAGAATTATCCCACAACTTCTAGTTAAAACATTTCAGAAATGGCTTGAGACAATAAGGGTAAACACATCTTTCTTTCCAGTGTATAAACTAATACCAGTATTGCCTGTGCAAAAAGTTTATTTTCTAACAGTACTTCTAATGTCAATTAATAACTGTTTACTTCCTTAATTTGTATGTAAACAACAAGTAATCTTACTATGTAAATTCCAAATCACATTTAAAACTAAGCTGAATATTTTCATTTATGGCAATGAGCTTTTGAAAAGGAATAAAAACACCACCTTGTTTGTTGGAAATTAAGTATCTTTAAAAAGTCAGTTTTCTATGGGACTAGAGTTTACCTCTTAACCATTCTGTTCTTTATGAGACATTTATCCAAGAAGGTTACAGTAATAGATTATCATGAAGAAGCAATATGTTTACTATAGAATCTTGGAAGTCCCCATGTGTGTCAGAGTGAGAGTGTGCATGCGTGTGTATAATTGGAGCAGTATCAGCAAAACATGAGTTAATTTCTGGTGTCAGTCTCTGTGGAAAGAAGCCTGTTTAATCTCTCATGTCTCGCGTTAGAACTCAGAGAAAGGACCTTTGGGAATGTGAGGAGAATGCAGAGGACATTCAAGTTCTTAATGTAGAGACTATGAAGCTGTTTAGGAGGCAGTTCTTTAGGGGTGGATGTGAACAGAAATTAGCAAAATCATAGTGCCTCTGAAGGTATGCCAACTCTGTAGTGTAGAATTAGCTATTTCAAAATAGTAGGCACAGTGAGGCCGGAGCCTAAGGTCCCTAGGAGGAAATGAGGTATGTGACGATCAGAAACTTATATTTTGTGAAGCTAGTTAAAGTTGTTTGTTTTTTTGTAGTATCAAGCTCTTGAAAGTTCTTGCCTTTACTAACTGCCCTAAGAGAAGCCGTCAGAATGCTTTTTGTAATAAAGCATTAAAGTATGTTTGGTGACAGCAGTAATTGAAGTGAGAGAATCCCAGAGGGAAGGCAGAACACCCAGTATAAAGTCAGGAGTGTTTTTTTGGGTGTCTTCTCTCTGCAGGGAAATAGTGTAAGGTGTTAAAGCCTTGGCGATTCTATTTTATTGGAAAAGGTACTGTTCCCACTTAGCTGTGTTTCTTGGCCAGGGATACAAGTAGCTTCAGGGACTTGTTCGTATCTCCTTGCTATGTTGCTTCATATTCTTAATGATTTGTTTTTTGCTGTTAAGAGATAATTGGGTGGAAAACGAGAAGACCTATCTTACAATTACATCATTTTCCCCACTACCCACCCCACTTCTCCCTGGGTGAAATATGCTTAAGATATTTGCAAATAATAAATACTAAACTAACAATGACTTTAAACAAATGGACCCCTATTTTTTCCTCATTATAGTCAGCTTGGAAATATGCAGCTGCTACAGCTGTGGACATCTTTTTTCTTGGGCTTTGCTTCATTGAAAGATGTCTGTTGCAGCTCTAGTCATAAAGACGGGGAAAGGGTGGAAAGGGGAAAGGAGTGTGGTTTATGAAGCTAGTAGATGTCTGCGTATATTTCATTGATTAAAACTGTGTCACACGGACTCTCCTAGTAGTAAGGGAGAGTTGGAAACCTAACTGCAGTCAGCTGTTCGTATCCATGGTTCTGCATCTGTGGATTCAACCGACTGTGGATCAGAATTCGGGGGAAAAATTGTGTTTGTACTGAACGTATACAGACATTTTTTCTTGTCATTTTTCCCTGAGCAATACATTATAACAACTATTTACATAGCATTAACATTGTACTAGGCAATGTAAGTACTCTAGAGATGATTTAAAGTATATGGGAGGATGTACATAGGTTATGTGCAAATACTACATACACCACTTTATATCAGGGGACTTGAGTATCTTCAGATTTTGGTCTCTTTGGGAGGTCCTGGAACGTGTCCCCCACAGATACCAAAGGATGACTGTACAGTATTTAGCTTTTATAGCCTCTATATTAAACAAAAGCAGGGAAAACAGATTGTAGTGTTGGGCAAAGCAATCTACAGTGTCTGACCTAATGCATACAGGCAGTATTTTTACTGAAGTCGGATTAATTTTAGAACTTGTCAAGTAATGTGTCTGTTTAGCTGAGATAAAGCAGAAAAGTGCAACTGAGGCTCTCTCTTCACACATCTAGTTGGTAAAATGTCTACATAAAGGTTGAAACATAGCTTTATTGAGTGTTTGCTTCCTGTTATGTTTCTTTTTTTTTTTTCCTTTTCTTTTTGAGATGGAGTCTCACTCTGTCACCCAGGCTGGAGTGCAGTGGTGCAGCCTCGGCTCGGTTCACTGCAACCTCCACCTCCCGGATTCAAGTGATTTTCCCACGTCAGCCTCCCGAGTAGCTGGGATTACAGGCGCCCGCCACCACACTCGGCTCATTTTTTGTATGTTTAGTAGAGATGGGGTTTCAATCAAGTTGGCCAGGCTGGTCTCGAACTCCTGACCTCAGGTGATCCACCCGCCTTGTTCTCTCAAAGTGCTGGGATTACAGGCGTGAGCCACCACGCCCGGTCCCTGTTATGTTTCTTTATCCTTCTCACTTCTTTGTTCCAGCCTTCAGAAGCAAAAGTAAATATTGCAAAAGAGCTACCATTACACTCAAGTAAAAGGAGTATGCCCCTTTGCTTTTAGGGTATGGTATGTGGTATGTAAGGTTTCCTTGAAACAGTTCACTGAGCACTAATAGGTAACTTAAGATATTCTTATTTAAGAATACTGTTTCAAAAAGATTTCAAATTGAAAAATACTGTGTAATAAATAATGATCAATAGCAGTTTGCTTGTTAGAATTGGATTAGAATAATTTTTAACAGTAATTAAGGTTAAATGCCTTTTGATATTAAAAGCACAGCCCTCCTCTAGTATCTTCCTTCTTCTAAGATGAAATGTACTTTCTCATTTCTGTGCTACCAAACCTTTACATTGAGCCAGTATCTTTAGGGTACTGTTCTATTTTAAAGTCCCTTTTTATTGACTTCATGGTTTCTCCAAAGGAAAAACAGTATTCTTCAGTGACTATGGGACTCTAGCTAGTTCCTCAGTCTTTCAGGATGGTGTATTAAACTCCTTTCTTTTTCTGCTGGATAGGTGGGGTACAAAGAAAAAAGTCCAAAAACTCCTTTCTTAAACTGAATGAATTAAATAATTTTTTCATATATTGGGAAATAGTTTCTATTAGCATTTGCTGATAGCAGTGGCCCCATAATATGTCTGCAGCTAGAAATAGTTGATTATTGTTCTCCTATATCCATTTAGAACTACACTGTGATATATATTATTAGCCTTTTCTTTGAAAATCTAGTACATTACATTTTGGAATGTAATTTTTCTTCCTTTAAGAATGTACTTATTTTTGAAATTTTCTTTTTCACACTTTATATACTTATAAAATTTTCTTTTTATAAATGGAAAGTCGTACGTTTTAAAAGAACATTTTATTTTAAAACAAATACCACTTGGTTTAAATATATAACATTGAAGCAGTGAAATCATTTCAGGAAGTTAAAATAGGGTATGTGTCTTTCTAATTTTTATGAAGAAAATTATTGATTAATTTATTCATTGATTCATTCTCTCAGTAATTAAGCACCTGTGCACTAGGTATATAGCAGTAAACAAAGGAAATCTGCCCGTAAGGCATTTATGTACTAATCATGTTACCTAGTGTAACTTTTCTCTTATTAATTTAGAAATTCTGTCAGTGGAGACGATGGAATAAAACTTTTTAGAGTATTAAATTCTACAGTGTACATAGTAATGTTTTTTAAAGCTCTGTATTAGTTGGCTAGGGCTGCCATAACAAAAACTGCAGATTTATTGGTTGGCTTAGACAGCAAATTTAATTTCTCAGTGTTCTGGAGGCTGAAAGTCCAAGCTCAAAGTGCCGGCGAGATTTCCCAAGGCCTTTCCTCTGTGCATGGTGAGATTTCCCCTGAGGCCTTTCCCCTCAGCTTGCAGATGGCCACCTTCTTACTGCCTCTTCACGTGGCCTTTCCTCCGTGCATGCATATCCCCGCTGTGTCTCTCAGTGTGTCCAAATTTCCTTCTTTTGTAAGGAAACCAGTCAGATTGGACTACCACACCCTAATGGCCACATCTTAATCACCTTTTTGAAGTCCTTGTCTTCGAATAAAGATACATTCTGAGGTACTAGAAGTTAGGACTTCAGTATGTGAATTTTGGTGGGGAGGGCGGGGGACATAATTCAGCCAGGGCTTATTAGTAAAGGGAGAGCCAGGGCTTTAAGTTGACAAGCATGTGAAAGAGGTTTTGAATCTAGGCTTTGATGATATATCACATTTTTGTAAAACATTTTATTTATAAAGTTCACTGAGCATTCGTAAATTAGGTTTGAACAAATCCTATCATCAAGGGAGATTGCCAAGTGAATAAGTAAAGGTGATGTGGTTTAAGAATATTCAATGTTTAAATTACTTGAATTTTCAGATTAAGAAAGTCATTGTAGCCTCTGCTTCTCAATTTGGCCACCCTATGCCTATTTGCTACTACCAAAGAAGAAACATCTTGAGCATGTGTTTGAGAATAGAGGATAGGTAAGAGGACAGTGAACGTTTTGGTAATCTGAGTTTTAATTTCTTTTTTTTTTCTTCTTTTTTTTTGAGTCCAAGTGTCACTCTTGTCGCCCAGGCTGGAGTGCAGTGGCGCATCTCGGCCCACCGCAACCTCTGCCTCCTGGGTTCAAGCGATTCTCCTGCCTCAGCCTTCCGGAGTAGCTGGGATTACAGTCATGCACCACCATGCCTGGCTAATTTTGTATTTTTACTAGAGACGGGTTTCTCCATGTTGGTCAGGCTGGACTTGAATTCCCGACCTCAGGTGATCCGCCCGCCTCGGCTTCCCAAAGTGCTGGGCTTACAGGCGTGAGCCATCGCACCCGGCCGAGTTTTAATTTCAAAATGCATCTGTGTGTGTTTGATGACTACCTGTGTTTGAATTAATATAGGTCTAAGGTATGTTGTGTTAAGTGGGCTTTTTATGGGTTGGCTTTAGGAACCTAGTCATAATTTACATTGTTATTTTAAATTGTTCCAAACAAGCAAAAATTACTGATTTTTTGAATATAGCCTATCCATCAATAGGGAACGGTCTCTGTAAAAACATCTCAGACAGCAGGAGAAGTTATAGTTCCTGATTGCTTATTAGTCTTGCAGAAGTAGAAAATAATAACTTGTTTGATAGTACGTTTTAAGGAATGAAGCAGTTGACTGTGTTTTCCTGGACTTACGGTCCAAGAGTGGGTTTGTTCTGACAGTATAGCTGTGTTTTTTAAGAAAATGAGTCTATTTTAAGCTGTCTTTGGCACTTGCTGGAGATAAAGTACATAAAAAAGAAACCTTCCCTTGAAGTTCATAGCCATTAAGAGATGTGATAAGCAAACCACTGGGAACTCCTGGCAGAAGCCTTTTTTTAGGCTTCCTCATTGGTTTTAGAGAAAAGAGCAATCCATATTTGACATATTTCACAAATTTGAAATGTAAATTATGATGATTATAAATTTCATCATGCTCTTTTCATCGTTTTTGTAAGTGTTGGATATTTGCTATACAGACTGCCTCGAACACTTCTCTTAGCTGACAGTTACTTAACCCACAGTATCTAGAAGATTGTTCATCATTCTTTGTCACTTTTTATCTTACATTGCTGTTCTTTTTATTTTTAAATAATTGAAGTTGTTTGTAAATAACAGAAGAATAAAGGAGTAATGAAAAATCTTTGTTAGAAATTTTAATTAGAATCTAAACATAGCAAACCCAATTTTTAAAATCAGCATTACTGGGATATAATTCACATATAATAAACTACACATATTAAAAAAGTACAGCGTCTTTAAGTGTTGACATCTGTGTACACCTGTGAAACCATCACTATAATCAAGATGGTAAATGTATCCATCACTTGAAAAAATTTTCCAAAGCTGCTTTTCAGTCCCTCCCTCCTGTCCTTCCCTGTTCTCTTCTCTCCCAGACAACTACTGGTTTGATTTTTGTCATTATAGATTAGTTTGCATTTCTAGAGTTTTATATAAATGGAGCCATAAAATATGTTCTATTTTTAAGTCTGGCTCCTTTCAAATTATTTTGAGATTCATCTGTGTCCTTGCCTGTATCAGTATTTCCTTCCTTTTAATTGTTGAGTATTATTCCATTGTATGTTTATAACACATTTGTTTGTGAAGATGTTTGTACCCAAAATGTGTGGTATTCTTTGAATGTAAATAACCACTCATCAGCTGCCCTACATGAACATGAAATATATATCCATTTTGTACATACTGATTCCAAATTTTAATAGGTTTTGTTTTTTCACTTGAAATCAAAACATAGTTTACAAACTTCGATGGTTCATAATCTTGAAGTAGGGAGGACATTCATTGTTCTTGATCCATAATTGGAAAGCATTTCATTTTCTGATTAATCAACACCAATTAGAATGATCAGTCCATTTAATTCTTTATTTTTGTATCATCTGTTTCCTTTCATCCACCTTTGTGTACTTATCTACCTTCAACAGTTGTCAGCTTACGGACAAATTATGGTGTATCACTATAAAAAACGAGAGCATACTCTCACATATACTCTTAGGATACTGGGATGGTCCAAGTTCTTGTCACAAAAAATTGCATGATTAAGTCCTGTTTAATGACTAAGTGGATGAAAATGCTACATTTCCTTTAAACCTAAGTTGTTCACTCATCTATTCTTGAATTTGAGAAAATTCATTTAGAATATTGTCATGTGAAGACTTGTCTCCGATGTTACTTCTACAATTAAATTCGCCATTGTCATTAATCTACAGTGTTGCTATCTTTATTTTCATTCATATTTTGATCAGCTAGTAGTTGTAAAATATCTCTCTGTCAGTTTTCTTCTCTTTGCCATTAATGGTGGTGTTCACAAAAAAGTTAACATAACCTAAACTGCTCTCTTTGAAAAGGCCAGCTTGTAAGGTTGGCTGTTGACTAGTGTCTGGAAACTTAGATTTCAGAAGGATTCCTACCACTAGCTGATCAAGTCGCTTACTGTGCCTAAACTGTTTATACAAAATACTATTTCTGCCGAATACCTCCTTCTGGGAGTCTGAAATTTTGTCATGTGCTAGGTGCCTATGTGACCAGCCCACAGTGAAAACCCTGGGTCCTGAGTCTCTAACAGTCTTTCATGGTAGACAGCATTTCACATGTATTGTCACAACTTGTTGGTGGGTGAATTCAGGAAATCTTATGTGACTCCATTGGGAGAGGATTCTGGAAAGTAGCTCCCAGTTTCCCCCAGACTGCCCCATGTGCCTTTTTTCTTTGCTGATTTTTGCTTTGTAGCCTTTCGTCGTAATAAATCATATCTGTGAATATGACTCACTCTCATAAGTCCTGCCAGCAAATCATTGAATCTGGGAATAATCTTGGGAATCTTTCAACGCAGGCCAAAAGTTAAAATTTTTGAATTCTTAACTGTGTTCAGCAAAAGCTTAAGTAAAAAAAAGGAGAGACTTACCAAGTTGGTGTCTGAAGGATGATGGAATAGTGATGATTTATTTCCAGATAGAATGAATTTTATTCATATGTAAAAAAGTAAATTTTCTCTTTGTTATATGAAATATCTTAAGAAAGAGTAACAATATTGGAAAAGCAATCTTTAAAATATTTAGAATTGCTTTTAATTACCACCCTCTGCCCCATAAAAACTAGAATTGGGTTCAGTGAACCCTAGTGGTATACAAAAGTTTGACAGAGTATGGTTTCTTGGTCATTTGCATGGCATTTAAAATTTGCCTTTATTCAATATTGAGTAGATACAAACTAATAGGTATAAAATATATGTAGGTATAAAGAATTGCTACATAATATTAAAAATAATAAAAGAGTAATACCTGTTTCCTTAGAAGTCCCCTGTTTGCTCTCCTCAGATTCTTTGTCATTCCTTCCCAACTCAGTAATAATTCTGAATTCTATATTTGGTATTCCTTGCTTTTTTAAAAAACAATTCCTGAACAATAAATTGTTGATTTTGTATATTTTTGAACCACTGGGTAATGTTGAATATAGTTGTTAGAGATTTTATGGCTTGTGGCTTTTTGGTTCAGCACATTAGGATATGTTCATTTTTTATTTTTCTTTTCTTTTTTTCTTTCGTAACTCTGTTAACTGACCGTTATGTTATCTTCTGATGAATAGAATCAGTTGGTAATTTTAATGTCAAATTACCAGTGTTTTCTGTTTAGGTTTACACATTTCTTGTCTTGTTTTGACTATCCTTACATACTAGAAGTCATAATCTCCTATGTAGTATTGTCTTCTAAAAGTTTTATATTAAATCTTTTCACATTGAGATCTCAAATCTGCCTGAAATTTTTGTTTTGGTATGATACAGGAGTCACATTTCATTTTTTCTAATGGATACTCAATTATCCCAGTCACATTTATTGACAAATTCTTCCCATTTTCCCCATGATATATAATGTCCTTCATTCCCACATGTGAGTCTGTTTCTGAACTATTACTTATGTTCCAGTCATCAGCCTGTCTAACCCTGTGCCATTACGCATTATCTTAATTACTAAAGCTTTAGAATAATACCAGTTTTAATTGTATTTGTATACAAATAGTAATATCATTTGTAAATAACAAGTTTCGCTGCTATCACACAAAAATAAAATTCCTGAGTCAAAGGTTATATGTATTTAATATTTTGATAGTGTTAAATTGCTGGCAAAAAGTTACTTTCATTTATGTTTTTACCTGTATTAGAGTTTCTGTTTTCCCACACCTTCATCAAAACTAGGTATTATTGGGCATTTGTGGTTTTGTGGGTATGCCCAGATAAAAGTGATAGATCATTGTTTTAATGTGCATTTCTTCTTGAGTGGGAGGATGAACATCTTTTCATTGTTTATTGAGTATTTGTAATTCTTTATACAATGAACTGCCAGTCTGTGTGTCTTGCTCATTTTTCTTTTTCGTTTTTTAAAAATTGATTTGTAAGACTTTATTATAAATTTCAAAACTGGCCCTTTTGTAATGTACTTGAGCTCTCCCTCCTCCTACCCCTCCCCCCAAACTAGTTGGCATTTTCTTTTTAAGTTGGTGACACAAAAGTTTTAAATTTTATGTATTCAAATTTATTAGTCTTTTTTGTTTCCGAGTATCATTTCTTTTTTTTTGAGACAGAGTCTCGCTCTGTCGCCCAGGCTAGAGTGCAGTGGCGCTGTCTCGGCTCACTACAAGCTCCGCCTCCTGGGTTCACGCCATTCTCCTGCCTCAGCCTCCCGAGTAGCTGGGACTACAGGCGCCCACCACCACGCCCGGCTACTTTTTGTGTTTTTAGTAGAGACGGGGTTTCACCGTGTTAGCGAGGCTGGTCTCAATCTCCTGACCTCATGATCCTCCCACCTCGGCCTCCCAAAGCCACCGCGCCTGGCCCTGAATATCATTTCTTACTTAGACTTCACCATTCCAACGGTAGGAACAAGTTTATTCATATTTTGTTTAAGTGTTTGGGTCAGTTCTTTATATTTAGGTCTGTGATCTAATAGGTATTTTTTTTTAAGTTATGCCATAAGAATCCTTATATTTTTCCCCAAATGGCCATTTACCAAATACTGTTTATTCAATAATCCATCATTCCCCTACTGATTTAAAATATTATTCTTATCACAGCTATTACATTTGCATATTCATTTGGTTGTATTGTAGACTCAGTGGTCTGTTCAACACTTTGTTTCTCTTTGTTTGTGCTGCTATCAAACTTTTAATTATTGAGACCTTCTACTGCTTCTCTGTGAGAGAACTGGATAGAGCCAGTTGCCTCTCATGACTTTTAATTCAGAATTTTCTTCTCATATGCCAGTTTTTTCAGATTATAATTACTAGTACCCTGCCACATACTCTGACTCACCCAAATAAAACTGTATTGATATTTTGATTGCAAAAACATTATTATAGATTATTTTCTTGGAAAATTCAAACTTAAAATAATGAGCCTTTATCCAAGAATAACTAAGTAGTGTTGCTTTATTCACTTCAGTAGCATTTTGAAGTTTTCTTCATAGAGATTGGCCCTTTACATTTAATTCAAGTTCTCATTTTTGTTGTTGTTGATGCTTTTGGAAATGGGATGTTTTCTAACAGATTTACAAATATGTACTATTTTGTTTAATCATTTTTACGGAAGTATAATTTACATTCATTGAGCTGTGTCTGTGTAAAGCGTACAGTTTGATTAGTTTTGACAGCTGCAGACCCCTGTGAAACCATTTCCATAGTTGAGATACAGAGTATTTTCCTCACTCCAAAAAGATTGTGCTCCTTGGTATTCATTCAGCCCTCCACTCCCCACCAGGTACCACTAATCTGCCTTTCTCACGATAAATTATTTTACATTTTCAAACATTTTATATAAATGGATTCATACAGTAAGACTCTTTAGTGTCTTTTTAAAAAAAAGCTCCTAATAATGCTTTTGAGATTCATTGAGGTTGTTTGTGTCAGCAGTTTTCTTCTTATTGAAGAGGTGTATTCTGGTGTCTGGATATAAAACACTTTGTTTATTCCTATCTGTTGATGGACATTTAGATTGTTAACAGCTTTTGGCTATTTTGAATGAAGGTGTTAGGGATCTTCATGTACAAGTTTTTGTGTGGACATATATTTTTATTTCTCTTTGATAACTGTCTTGAGGTTGTTTTCATATCCTAGGTATAAGAATGGTTATTTTCACATTTGGGCAGTTGATGAGAGTCCCAGTCGCTCCACATTTTCACCAATGCTTGTCTTTGTCTCTTCTTTCTCCCCAAATTTGGCCATTTTAGCGGATATGCAGTGATTTAGTGGGTATTGTGGCTTTATTTGCATTTCTTTGATAACTTGTGATGTTGAGTATCATTTCATGCTTTACATGAGTAAATCTTCTTTTGTTAAGTGTTTTGGGTTGAATTCTGTCTCTCACAAAAAAAGATATGTTGGAGTCCTAGCCCCTAATATCTCAGAATATGACCTTATTTGGAGATAAGGTCTTTACAGAGATAGTCAAATTAAAATGAGATTATTGGGATGGGCTATTCCAGTATAACTGGTGTGCTTATAAAAAGGAAGAATTTGGTCAAAGAGACATGACACGGCAAGAATGCCATGTGAAGATGAAGGCAGAGATCAGAGTGATGCATCTGTAAGCCAAGGAGTGCGGAAGACTGCCAGCAAGCCGCTGGAAGTCAGGAAGAGAGGCACGGAACAGATTCTTCCTCACAGCCCTTAGAAGAAACTAACTCTGCCTGTAGTCTTGTAAATTCCTTAGGGTTTTCAGTGCGAACAGTCATGTCATTTGCAAATAGAGACAGTTTTACTTAATCTTTACTGGCTGTTACACTTTTACTTTCTTTTGCCTGCCTTCCAGCCACAATTAGGGCCTCCAGCATAATGTTGAAAACAAGTGAGGCAAGTAAGCATCCTTTCCTCCATCTTAATGTTGAACATATCACCATTGTGTGCATTAGCGGTAGGGTTTTTTGTTTGTTTTTTAAAACTTTTAGGTTCAGGGGTACACGTGAAGCTTTGTTACATAGGTGAACAGATTATTACATCACCCAAGTATTAAGCCCAGTACCCAGTAGTTACCTTTTCTGCTCCTCTCCCTCCTCCCACTCTCCACCCTCAAGTAGATCCCAGTGTCTGTTGTTCTCTTGTGTTCATCAGTTCTCATCGTTTAGTTCCCACTTATAAGTGAGAACATTCAGTATTTGGTTTTCTGTTCCTGTGTTAGTTTGCTAAGGATAATAGCCTCTAGCAACATCCATCTTCCCTCAAAAGACATGATCGTGTTCTTTTTCAGGGCTGCATGGTATCCCATGGTGTATATGTACCACATTTTTTTTAGCCAGTCTGTCATTGATGTCCATGTCTTTGCTATTGTGAGTAGTGCTGCAGTGAACGTTTGTGCACATGTGTCTTTGTGGTAGAATGATTTATATTCCTCTAGGTATATAACCAGTAATGGGATTGCTGGGTCAAATGGTAGTTCTGCTTTTAGCTCTTCGAGGAATCACCATACTACTTTCTACAATGGTTGAACCCATTTGTACTCCCAACAACAGTGTATAAGTATTCCCTTTTCTCCATAACCTCACCAGCATCTGTTTTTTTGACTTTTTAATAATAACCACTCTGACAGGTGGGAGATGGTATCTCATTGTGTGTTTGATTTGCATTTATTTAGTTCTGTTTATGTGATGAATCACATTTATTGATTGGCGTGTATTGAACCAGCCTTGCATCCCGGGATGAAGCCTACTTGATTGTGGCGGTTTAGCTTTTTAATGTGCTACAGGATTCAGTTTTTAAGTATTTTGTTGAGGATTTTTGCATCAATGTTCATCAAGATATGGGCCTGAAGTTTTCTTTTTTTGTTGTGTCTCTGCCAGGTTTTGGTATCAGGATGATGCTGGCCTCATAGAATGAGTTGGAGAGGAGTTCAGCCTCTTTAATTTTTTTGGAATAGTTTCGGTAGAAATGGTACCAGCTCTTCTTTGTGCATCTGTTAGCTGTAGGGTTTTCATAAATGCCCTTTATCAGATTTAGATCGTTCCTCTGGATTTTTAGTTTGCTGAGAGTTTTATGAATTGGTATTCAATTGGATCACATATTTTATATGTCTGTTGAAATAATTATATAATTTTTCTCCTTCATTCTGTTAAATATAGAGAATTACATTAATTTATTTTTTAGATGTTAAACTAACCTTGCCTTGTTGAAATAAATCATATTTGGTCATGATGTATTATCCTTTACAGCATCCTTTTCATATTCAATTTGCTGTATTTTAAAAAGGATTCTTGCATTTGTGTTCATGAAGGATATTTGTGTCATTTTCTTTTTTCGTAATGTCTTTGTCAGGTTTTGGTATTAAGGTTATGCTGATCTCATAGTTGGGAGATGTTCACTCTATTTATTGAAAGAATTATGTAAAATTGATATTGTTTCTTTCTTAAATGCTTGGTAGAATTTAGTGTATTTGGGCCTGGAGTTTTCTCAGTGGGAAGAATTTTGGTAACAGATTGAATTCTTTAATATATATTAAAGAAAATATATTTCTTATAAAGACTTATATATATATATATAAATTTGAGAGGCCACTCACATTTACTGTTTTATATTGTGTCAGAATATGGTGTGTGGTAAGATGTGTTTTTTGGGGAATTTCTTGATTTCATCTAACCTATTGGATTAGTTTGCCTAAAGTTTTTTATAATTATCTTTTATTATCTTTATAAGATCTATAGGTTTTTTCAGTGATAACCTCTCTTGCATTTTTTATTATTGGTAATTATATTCTCTCTTTCCTTGATCTGTCTAGAATAGGGTTTATCTGTTTTTATGATTATTTGGCTTTGTTAATATACTCAATTCTTTGTTTTCTGTTTCATTGATTTCTGCCTTTTATTATTTCCTTCCTTCTCTTCCCCTCAGGTTTACTTTACTTAGTCTTTTTTTTTTTTTATAGCTTCTCAAGGTGGATCCTTAGGTCAGTGATTTTAAACTTTCATTTTTAATGTAAGCAGTTAAAGCTACAGATTTCCTTTTAAGTACTTGTAAAGTTTGTTAATAGTTCAGAACCCTCAGGTTCAGTAATTTACTGGAAGGACTCACAGAACTCACTGAAAGCTATTATACTCACAGTTATGGTTTATTACTTGAAAGGATACAGATTAAAATCAGCCATGGGAGAGATAAAAGTCCAGAAAATTTCCAAATGAGGAGTTTCCATTTGTCTTCTCTGGAGTCATGGATGATGTTAACCCTTCTGGTAACAATGTGTGACAATAAGCACTGAGTATTCCAACCAGGGAAATTCAATCAGGACATTCCAAGGGTTTGGAGGGAGCTAAAAGCAAGGTTAAATTCTTTACTACATAGTCCTATTTAGCTTCATTATTACTCCATTCTGAATTGTTTCTGATTTCCTTCTTGAGTTCTTTGAACCATGAGATTTTTAGAAGTGTGTTGTTTAATGTTCAAATATTAGGAATTTTACTAGATACCTTGTTTCTCAGTTAATTCCATTGTGGTTAGAGAATGGATTGGTTGTGATTTCAATCCTTTTAAATTTGTGACTTGTTTTGTGGCCTAGCATATGGTCTGTATTGGCAAATGTACCATATTCACAGAAGGTGATGTATTTTCTTCAGTTGTTAAGTGTTGTTTATCATAAATGTTAATTAGGTCAAGACAGTTGATACTTTGTTCAATTTGTCTTATATTTGTATAGTTCTATCAGTTGCTAATCAAGGAGTTTAAATCTCTTACTAAAATTGTAGAATTGTCTGTTTCTCCCTTTAGTTTCTGTTGGTTTTGCTTATGTATTTTAAGGCCCTGTTATTAAGTACACACATTTATGGTTCTTATAACTTCCTGGTGAATTAAATTTTTAGCATTTTGAAATCTCTTTTTCTTTAGATAAATACTCTGTCTTGAAGTCTGTTTTATCATATGTTAATATAGGCACTTTAGCTTTCTTATGCTTACAGTTTATATACCTTTTCTTTTCATTCATATGCTTTCACTCTGCCTTTTTTTACGAAGTATATCTCTCGCTTTGCATGAAGTAAGATTCATGCTCAGATTCTCAACATCATTTAGTGGTGGCCCAAGTCATATTTGTTTTAATTTGCCTTTTAAATATGAGAAATCTGATTTTTACTAATTATTAATTAAAATCAGTTAACATACTAAATTACTTCTAGTAATTTTTTTAGTGGATTTGCTTGGATTTTCTAGCTGTGTACCAGTATCTCCTGTAATGATTGTTTTATCAACTCATTAAAATTTTTTTCATTCTAAAGGTAATTTTGTGAATGAATAATACATTCACATGGCTTGAAATTTAAAAGCTGTATGAAGATGAAAAGGTCTCCCTCTTGCCTCTTTCCCCCAGGGGTAAATCTCCTCTCGTCAAGCAACTAAAGTTATCTGTTTCCTATGCATCCTGGTTTCTCCGTATATAAGCAAATATGTGTATTTTCTCTTCCTCTTACTATCCCCCCAACTACCCCCACCCCGCCACACACACAGGAGTGTAGTCTATACTATTCTGGACTTGTTTTCACCACTTAACATTATATTCTGGAGTTTTTTCTATTTCCATACCTGAAGACCTTTCTCATCATTTTATGACTTGTGATATTCTCTTATTTGAATAAGAATGATTTATTTGACAAGTTCATTGTTACTGGATATAGTGATGGATGTTTTTAATTATTTGTTTTACAAACAATACTACAATAAATAACTGCCTACACACTTCGATTGTAAACATGGCAATATTTCTATAGGATAAATTCCTAAAAGTAGAATTATCAGGTCAGAGGTTCTATGTATTCATAATTTTGATAGAAGTTGTGAAATTGTCCTTTTATAGAGGTAGTACCAGTGTACACTCCACAGATTCGTATGAAAGTGCCTGTTTTTCCTATGTCCTCATCAGTATATAGTATGTTATCAAACTTGGATATTTGACAATCTGATAATGTGAGAAGTAGTATATCAGCGTAGCTTTAATTTACATTTATCCTCTTGGGAGTAGTAGATAAACATATTTTTGTATATGTAAGAATTACTTGATTTTTTTTTTTCTCTAAATTGTTTGCTTGTTCTTGTTCCATGCATTAGAGAGAGGGCTGGAGGGTTTTGTATCTTTTTCTTAGGGACTAAGAAGTTTTTAAATGTGTTTGTGAAATTAGTCCTTTGGATTTAAGTTACAATTTTTTTTCGTATTTTTTAACGTTTTGACTTCTAGTCAAATTTATCAGTCTTTTTTTAATGGCTTCTCAGTATTATGTTACAGCTATATAGGTCTTTGTTATAGTTATAAAAGAATTTCTCTAGAAGAATCTTGTGTTATAGTCTCATTTAAAAAAATCTTCAGGATATTTTTGTTGTAGCTACCCATTTTCCCCCTTGCTATTTATTGAATAATCTTTTAACCAATGATATTGGTTGAAGATATAAACTTTATTAAAAATAGTACCAAATTTCTATTTATATGCCGATTTTCATCTTTGTTTCACTAATCTTTCTGTTCTTGTACCAGTAATACCATATATTAATCAAGGTTTTATAATAGATTTTAAAATTTGTTGAAGATTGTGCACACTTACTCCTTATCTATAGACTTTCTTTTTTTCTTGCTGGTTTTTTACAAGAATTTCAGTTACCTCTTCTAATTCCTGCATAAATATTTGAATAAATGAATAAATTTTCTGTTGGCCTTTTTATTGGGATTATGTTAAAGATAAAAGTATAGATAAACTTAGGAAGGAGATGATATCTTTGACTTGATTCTTTCTGCCAAGAACGTGGTCTGTCTTCTTTTCATTTGGTAAAGCCGGACATTTGGATACTTTGGTTTTATTCCTGGGCATTTTATCTTTTTTGTTTCTATTTCAGATATGGCCTTCTATTTCCTTGTACCATCTAATTGCTTATTATTAGTTTAAATCAGAGATTTAACTTTGCGTAAAGTTTGTGTAACTTTGCGTAAAGAGCAGACTTTGCGTGAAGGACAAACTTTGCGTAAAGAGCAAAGAGCAAACTTTGCGTAAAGGACCAGATAGTGAATATTTTAGCCTCTGTGGGCCGTCTGCTTCCCAGCTCCGCCACCGCATCACAGAGGCAGCTAGAAAGCAGCCATACATCATACATGGAAATGAGAATGAGTGTGGCTGTGTTCCACTACAACTTCATTACAAAAACAGGTGGCAGGTCCTACTTGAAAGCAGTCCAACAGAATTTCCAGCATACTTAGTTAAATGAAAGCAATCGATATCTATATATTCATTTTCTACCTGGATACCTAACTGAAATCTTTTATTGTTTATTGTTGGTATATCGTTCTTTATTTTTATTTATTTATTTATTAATTTTTTACATTTCTCTTGGATTTTCTGGATTTACCATCAGGTGATCTGTAAATTGTGGTAATTTTATCCTTGTCCTTCTAATTTTTTTATCTCATAGTTTTTTTTCTTGTATCTCCTGAAAAGTGTTAGCAGTAGTTATAATGATATGCTTATTTCTGACTTTAATGCAAATGATGTGTTTCCCCATTAATCAGATTAATGGTTGACTTTTTGGTGAATAGAAAGATACTATAAATCAAGGCTCATGCCTGTAATCCTAACACTTTGGGAGGCTGAGGCAGGTGTATCGCTTTGAGCTCAGGAGTTCCAGACCAGCCTGCGCAATGTGGTGAAACCCTGTCTCCACAAAAAATACAAAAATTAGCTGGGCATGGTGGCTTGTGCCTGTGGTCCCAGCTACTTGGGAGGCTGAGGCTGGAGGATTTCTTGAGCCTGGGAAGGGGAGGTTGCAGTGAGCCGAGATCACGCCACTGCACTCCAGCCTTGGTAACAGAGTGAGATCCTGTCTCAAAAGAAAAAGAAAATATCTTACATAATTAAGAGTTATTTTTAAAATCAAGAGTATATACTGATTTTTTTAAATGCCATCTTAGAAGAATCCGTAGAAATCATTTGACCCTTTACGTCATGGATTTCTTTGTTTACTTTTCAGGAGCATACTGTAATAGTCAGAATAATGCCCTCCCTGCCTACCCTTCTGCCCCCCTCAAAGATGTCTGTGCCCTATAGATAGCCCCTTGAACCTGTGAATACATGGCAAAAGGAAATTAACGTCACAAATGGAAATAAGGTTTTTAATAAACTGATTTTAAGATAGGGAGATTATCCTAAATTATTTGGGTGGACCCAAAGTTTCCTTGGAAGAAGGAATTGGAAAACAGAATCCGAGAGATGACAGCATGAGAAGGACTTGGCCTGACATTGGTGGCTTTGAAGATGGAGGAAGTGGGCCCCCTGCCAAGCAATGTATATAGACAGTCCCCAGAAACTGGAAAAGGCAAGAAAAGAGATTCTTCTGTAGAGCCTCCTCAGACACATTTTGGACTTCTCAACTACAGAACTACAAAAATGTGGGTTGTTTTAAGCCACTATGTTTGGTAACTTACTATAGCTGCCATAGAAAAGTTTTGTTCTCAGTTTTAGTGAGTATATTTCACCATTAATTGTAATGTCGGTTTTAGTTTGGTTTATAGTAGGAAGCTGTCCAGTTGTACTGTTTTACTCCAAGAGGTGATAGTGGTTGTTTTTCATCATAATGGATGTGTTTGTTGAGTATTTGGTATTCATTAATTTTTTTTCCTTCTGACTTGTTAATGAGGTCAGTTACATGAAATGCTTTTTTGATATTTACCTATTCTGACATTTTTGGAATGTATTCTACTTGGGTTGTAATATTTTGATGTTCTGAGCTCTTTTGCTAATGTTTTGTTTTGGAACTTTGTATTTACATTCATAAGTGAGATTGGTTTCTAGTTTTTTTGTCATTTCTGAGGAATTTTTTTTTAGAATGTTGTCCTTTCTCATGATTATTGTTTCAGGGCTTTATCTCATTCAGTCATGGCCAGTTTTGGAAATTTATATCTTCCTATAAAATCATAACAACACAATTTTGTTCGTATTGTATTTTGCTTCCCCCTTCCTCCCACGCCCTTTCCCTAATCCAGGCTTTACTTCTGGGGGAAGGAGTAAGTCCCAGTATTGGTAAGGTATACCATTTTTCACATGTATAGCTTTATCATATGAAGGTTGAACACATTTTTATTTTTTATTTTTTGGTATGTTCAAGATGGTTTGGTATGTGGAAATCCTATCTTGGTATATGACATTTCCTTCCTTAAAAAGCTTGAATTAGTAATTCTGTTCTTCTTGGCCCTTAACCTTTTGGCGATTGCTGTCAGTGGTTTCGGGGATTTTTAATGCTTTTTTTATTCCAAGCAAGTGAATGAATAGTCATCTTCCTGTATCCACAGGGGATTGGGTTCAGGATACCAAAATCAGTGGATGCTGATGCCCAAGTCATAGAAGACATAGTATTTGCATATAACCCGTGCACATCCTCCTGTATTTTAAATCATCTCTGAATTACTTATAATACCTAATTCTATGTAAATGCTACGTAAATAGTTGTTACACTGCATTGTTCTTTATTTGTATTATTTTTGTTGTATTTTTTTCCCCAAATGTTTTCCATCTGCAGGTGTTTGAATCTGTAGATATGGAACTCACAGATATGGAGAGCTGACTAGTTGGGAGAAATTGTTTAACCACAGGCAATAGTTTAATTGTACCTAAAATCTTCATTCCAGCTCCCAGTTAATGTATATAATAGCTAATTTTATTAACACACTGATGGATGAGGGAAAATCATTCTGTAGTTCCTATCACAAAGTAGCAGGTGTTTTACAAAGAGCATAGTTAACCCCATTTGAAAACAGTTTGTCTGGATGTGGCTCTAAGTTGGTCCTGTAGCAGCTTTTGTCGTGTTCAGGAAAACAAGCAATCTAATATCAATTGTTATAGGATTCTTCTGTTTCTATTCCTGCAGCTTCATATTAAACCGTTGTCAAGAACAAAAAGAATAGTGTTTCGTATGCATTTCTGTATTGTGGTTAGCTCATTTGAAATGTACAAGTAGAAAAATGAAGTCAGTGTAATGTGGAAATCACACTGATTCACATAATTTTTCCTATACATGGGAGCAGACTGAGCAGTGGGAATAAGATTATAATCTTTAGCTGGAGAACAGAAAAGCTCTTGGCTCTTGAGCTACCTGTTGTGAGCAAGGTGTTCTTTGTACTCTATTTAAGTAAGTTAAAGACAAGCACCTACACCGGGGCCTTCTGCCACAGAGAGATTCATTCCTAACCCAGTATGACTCTTTGCATAGGATAGATTTCATTGTCTTCCTTACCCTAAAAGTATCTGTGTTGTTTGGGCCCCCACCAGCCCTATTTTAATTATAGTGTTGTCAGTTTGTGCACTTTTACTGCTTGCTGTGGCTCTTGCCTGCCCGAGCAATACAATTTAATGACTGCTCTTTTTCCCTGACAGAGGCCATTTATTTTAACCTTGAAACCAAGAATATAGTTTTGCTCTTGAAAGGATAATTTTTTAGTGGTTAAAGATTGCAAAAGTGAAAGTGAGGATTTTGGAGAAGAAATGTAGTAAATGTCTGTGGCTTTAAATTAATGTATTTTATTGATCTTAAAATGTACTTTCCTCTACTTTTAACCTGTCTCAAATTTGGAATTATTTGCAATTGATGTACTTCACAATTTATTTGGCAGTGGTTTTTTTTTCTTTTTTGGGGGTAAATATAATTACTGGGGCATCTTATAATTGATGATGTGTACTGGATTCATGAGATACAATATTTGCTATTAGATAAATTTTAGAATTTAAAATATCCTACTTTTGACTTTCAGAAAACCTAGTTTTCGAATGGAGATACTGTAATATTTTGATTTTGGAACTGTTTTTGAAAGTTCATGACACAGACTATGACACAGTTTTCTAAGTATTTTACGAGATGGAGATTTTACAAATTTTACTTACTTTATTTTGAGACAGGGTCTCACTCTGTTGCCTAGGCTGGAGGGCAGTGGTGTGATCATGGCTCACTGCAGCCTCAACCTCCCGGGCTCAAGCAGTTCTCCTACCCTCGGCCTCCCCAGTAGCTGAAACTGTAGGCACACATCACCACATCCAGCTAATTTTTAAAATTTTTTGTAGAGGCAGAGTCTCAAAAATGGTCCTGAACTCCTGGGCTCACCTGATCTTCTTTCCTCAGCCTTCCAAAGTGCTGGGGATTACAGGCATGAGCTCCTGTCCCAGGCCTAAAATTAACATTTCTGTACACAAAATACACATTTTCCCTTCCACTTCACTGTCACTGTTAAGACAAATCTAACAGTGGTTAGACTGCATCGTTCTCTGACACGGACAGCATTCCTCCTTACCCTGCAGACTTATTTAAAGTAATTTTCCCAGATCCCTTTGAGAAAATGGTTAAAGTTGTGAACACTTCTTCAGAAATAATGCTCACATCTCCTTACAATTCTTTTACAGTTTTCTGGTTTGCACTTTTAGGCAATTACACTTCTTGTTTTTGTTTTGTTTTGTTTTTAGCATATTGGTTAGAAACGCTAGAGAAGTGTTGAGTAAGATGATACTGCCTTGATTGCCACTTTAAGAATGCCTGTTTCACCATTAAATATGATTGCTGGTAGATGCTTTAAAAGTTTATTTGTATTTCTGTATTGCTAAGAGTTTTTCTTCTCCTAAAATCAGGAATGGGTTTAAAATTTTGAGATTCTTAGGTGGTTCTTAGAGCGTTCATTGAGATGATCATGGTAAAATACATGAAGACATGAATGTCTTAAAATTGAGCCATCCTTATTGTTGGGATACATTTCACATCATAGTGTTGGATTCAGTTTGCTTTTTTTCCTTCCAAAACATTTGAATTCATATTCAAAATGAGCGTCGTTTCTTGTGTTTTCAGGTTCTATAATCTGGTTGAGAAATTTGGAAGTTTTTTGTCTTCCTCAGGAATGCAGCAATCAGTGTTTCCTTGATAGACTTGAAATGCAGATATAATACAGTTACATTTATTGTTATCACTCGTTTTGTAATTCTTCTCATCTTACATTTGTTATGGTTTTCATGCATTTGTTTTATTTGTATATAATCGTGGGGTACAAGTGCAGGTTTGCTACATTAATAAACTGTATTGTGGTGAAATGAGGGCTTCCAGGGCATCCATCACTAAAGCAATGCACGTGGTACCCACCAGACAGCCTCCTATCATCCACCCCTCCCACCCCTCCACCCCTGCAAGTCTGCATTGTCCATCATTCCACACTCTGCCTCCATGTGTACACATTATTTAGCTCCTGCTTGCAAGTGAGAGCATGCAGTATTTGTCTTTCTGTGTCTGAGTTATTTCACTGAAGTGCTTTGGCTAAGCTATTTGGGCTCTTTTTTGGTTCCATATGAACTTTAGGATTTTTTTTTCTGCTTCTGTGAAAAATGATATTAGTATTTTATTGTAGTATTACATTGAACTTCCAGATTGCTTTGGGCAACGTGGTCATTTTAACTATATTCATTCTTCTGATCCATGAGCATGGGTGTTTTTCCATTTGTTTGTGTCATCTACAATGTATTTCATCACTGTTTTGTAGTTTTCCTTGTAGAGATCTTTTACCTCCTTGGTTGAATATATTCGTAGGTATTTTATTATTTTATTTTATTTTGTAGTTATTGTAAATGGGATTGCCTTCTTGATTGGGTGTTTGGCCAGATCATTATTGGTGGATAGGAACACTACTGATTTCTGTACATTGATTTCGTATCCTGAAACTTTACTGAATTCATTTACCAAATCTGAGAGTTTTTTTGGTGGAGTCTTTAGAGTTTGTTTTTTGTTTGTTTGTTTTTTGAGACGGAGTCTCACTCTGTCGCCCAGGCTGGAGCGCAGTGGCGCGATCTTGGCTCACTGCAAGCTCCGCCTCCCGGGTTCACACCATTCTCCTGCCTCAGCCTCCCGAGTAGCTGGGACTACAGACGCCTGCCACCATGCCCAGCTAAATTTTTTGTATTTTTAGTAGAGACGGGTTTTCACTGTGTTAGCCTGGATGGTCTCGATCTCCTGACCTCGTGATCCTCCCGCCTCGGCCTCCCAAAGTGCTGGGATTAGAGGCGTGAGCCACTGCGCCCGGCCGGTGGAGTCTTTAGAGTTTTTTAGATAAAAGATGATGTCATCAGCAAACAGGAATAATTTCACTTCTTCCTCTTTTCTAATTTGGATGCCTTTTGTTTTTTCCTCTTGCCTAATTGCTGTGACAAGTCTTCTGGTATCGCGTTGAATAAGAGTGGTGAAAGTGGGTATTCCGGTATTGTTCCAGTTCTTAGAGGGAATGCTTTTAACTTTTCCCCATTAACTATAATGTTGACTGTGGGTGTGTTATATATGGTCTTTTTTTTGTTGAGATATGTTTCTCAAAGCCTAGTTTGTCATGGACATTTTATTATGAAGGGATGCTGAATTTTATTGAATGTTTTTTCTGAGTCTGTTGAGGTGAGTCTGTTGAAATAAGGCCTTTGACCTTATTTCTGTTTATGTGATGTATCACATTTATTGATTTGTGTATGTTGAACTATCCTTGCCTCCTCAGGATAAATCCCACTGGATCATGGGGTATTATATTTTTGATGGTGCTGTCGGGTTCGATTTGCTAGTATTTTCTTTAGGTTTTTACATCTATGTTCATTAGTGGTATTGGCCTATAGTTTTATTATTTTGCTGTGTCCTTTCTGGTTTTGATAACAGGGTAATACTGGCCTCCATTCCTCAACACATGTTAATCCTCATCTGTTTCAAGAATTCATATTAAGCCTCACTGCTCCTTTTATGTTAATGTGTTGCTGTTTTTCTTAAAATGAAGTATATTGGCTTGCATGGAACAATATGTGGTACCAAATATTTCTTTTAAATTTACTACTGAAATAATAAGTATTTGAGGGGTAGATAGGGAGATATTTGCACACTAATAATATTTGTTCAACTGTCTGGTATTGATTTAAGAACCTTGTACTAAATATTTTATTAAATACTTAGTTTTTGGCCTTAATTTTAGTTATTTTGGATTTTCTAATAGATTCAGGAATCTGCATCATTTCCATAATCAGAAAATTGTTTCTAAAGAAAGATATCTGGAAATTATCTAACAGGAATGAAGTAGTAATTTAGTCACATTCCTATATGTAAGTCATAGTAGTGAGTAAAATAATATTGCTGATATTGTTAACCAAGATTAAGGGCAGTGTAAAGTTTTATGTCAAAGGTAGTGGCCTGAAAAACATAAAAAAGGATGAGGAAATGTGTTTAGAATGTTCTTACTATAATCATTTAAAAATATGTTTCCTCCTTCATCCCTAACCCTCATCACACTTTGTAATTCTTTTTAGTATAAGTGTTAGGTAAGTTAGACTTGGACCATCCTTAGGGAGGCCTTAGTTTTCTACATTCTACTTTATTGGCAAACTGGTTTTATATGAAGTTTTCAGTGTTACAAAAAATTGGAAATAGGCTGAGATAAACCTTTAGATAACAAGAAATACAGATGAATATTGCTGTGTAATGTAATGATGGCCCTGAAAGCTACTTGGAAGTACTTTCTCAAATAATAATTGTAATGAACCCAAGGTTTCTCTTTTTTGAATAATTACAGGTTGAGCATCCTTTATCCAAAGCACTTGGGACCAGAAGCGTTTCGGATTTTGGAATTTTTCAGATTTGGGGATATTTGCATATACATAATGAGATATGTTGGGATGGGATGAAATTTGTTTCATATACACATTATACACATAGCCTGAAGGACTTTATATACACTATTTTTAATAATTTTGTGCATGAAACAGAGTTTTGACTGCAACCCATCACATAAGGTCAGATGTGGAATTTTTCACTTGTGATATATTGGTGCTCAAAAAGTTTTGAAAATTGAAGCATTTTGGATTTTGGATTTTCAGATTAGGGATGCTCAACCTATAATAGAGAATAGACTTTAGTTTTGGTAACTGTATTTTTATAAAAGGTTTTCTTAAAGGTACAAGTATAAGGGAACTCAGAAACTTTAAGAGATTCCCATTGGCTAGAGATATGTCAATTTCAGCTTCAGAAAAGATTTTTTCAATAGATTTTATCACCAGCTATGTATAATCCATCAATTTATCATGATAATTTTTATAATAATTTGAAGGTACTCATATAGTGTAAAATTTACTCTTTTAAAGTATATGGTTATGTGCGCAGAGTTGTGCACCTACCACCACTAACTAATTTCAGAAGGTTTTCATCATCCCAGAAAGAAATTCCATATCCATTAGCATCATTTCTCCCTCTTGAGTGAAATTGCTGGGTCTTAAGATACTTCATGTAACCTTTTGAGGAACCTTCAAACTGTTTTCCAGAGGGAATGTACCATTTTCATTCCCATCAGTAATGTATGAGAGTTCCCATTTTTCCACATTCTTGACCGCACCTATCAGTCTTTTTTTTATTATGGTCCTCATGTTGGATGTGAAGTAGTATCTCATTATGGGTTTGATTTGCATTTATGTAATGATTAATGATATTAAACATCTTTCCATGTGCTTATTGGCTGTTTGTATATCTTCTTTGGGAAAATGTTTAAATCTTTTGCCCATTTTTAAATTGACTCATCTTCTTGTTGAGCTATAAGATGTATTCTGGACAGTAGACCCTTATGAAATATATTATTTGTAATATTTTCCTCCTCATTGTTTGGTTTGTCTTTTTTTTTTTTTTTGGAGACTGAGTCTCGCTGTGTCACCCAGGCTGGAGTACAGTGGCCTGGTCTCGACTCACTGCAACCTCCACTTCCCGGCTTCAAACGATTCTCTGCCTCAGCCTCCCAAGTAGTTGGGACTACAGGTGCCCACCACCACACCCGGCTAATTTTTGTATTTTGAGTAGAGACGGGGTTTGACTATATTAGTAAGGCTAGTCTCGAACTCCTGACCTCGTGATCTGCCCACCTTGGCCTCCCGAAAGGCTGGGATTACAGGCGTGAGCCACCGCACCTGGCCCCTTTGGGTCATCTTTTCGGTTTCTTGATAGTGGCTTTTGATGAACAAAAGTATTTTTTTGTTTGTTTTGTTTTGTTTTGTTTTGATGAGTCCAATTTATGTTTTTTCTTTGGTTGCTGATGCTTTTAATGTCATATCCAAGATACGATTTCCTAATCCTAAGGTCACAAAGATTTACACTTATGTTTTCTAACTGTAACTCATATTTAAGTTTTGGTTAATTTTGTGTTAATTTTTGCACCTAGTGTAAGGAAAGGATCTAATTTCATTGTTTTGCATGCAGTTGTCCCAATATCATTTGTTAAAAAAAACTATTCTTTCTCCCTTGGCACACACATGTCCAAAATCAATTGACTGTAAATGTCAGGATCTATTTCTGGACTCTTTATTCAATTCCATTGATCTATATATCTATATTTATTCCAGTACCATAGTCTTGATTAATGTAGCTTTGTAGTAAGTTTCAAAATCAGGAGGTGTGAGCCCTGTACTTTGTTGTTCATTTTCAAGATTATTTCTGGCTATTCTGTGTTCCTCGCAATTCCGTGTGGATATTAGGATCAGCTTGTCAGTTTCTGTGGGGGAAAAGTGCCTGATGGAATTTTGATAGAGATTGCATTGAATGCTGTATAGAAACCTAACTGATCACCTTAGGAGATGGCAGGGAGCCAATTTTTCAAATCTGTCTTGAAAACTAGTAAATAAGGGCATTTTTCCTGTTTCACCTGTGTGAACCATACCAACAGATAACCAAATAGTAGGTGAAGTATCTCTTTATACATGTATTCCATTGCATTAATGAAAAATAAATATAGAATTAGTTTGTCACAATTTTTGCAAATCCCAGTGAATGAATTAGTTTAGGCATTGAATATCAAGAGCTGCTAACTTTACAAAAAGAGAGACAGGTATTATATGCTTTCTGATAAAATAACACACCACCACCTGTAGTCTTACCAAAAGGACTGAACGTGAGATTAATTAAGTTGTTGCGTCCAGCTACCAATTTACAGGAAATACGGAAGCAAAAGGTCTGCATTGAAGGGCCCCATGATTTTGCAGTCATTCTACTGGAACCTCTTTAGGTCAAATGCCTTGAGTTTTTCCATAATTATAGGGAATAAAAAAGGATCAAGAGGGAACTTATAAATTAAAAGATACTTAAAAGACATAGTTTTAAAATTATTTCTTTCAAGAATGAGGCTTTTTTAAATTTTAATTCCTTTCACTTCCCTCCAAATTACATACGTACATTCATAAGCATGGATACACACATACACATATATAATGATACATACATACAGTGTTGCTTAAAAATGTTTAAACAGTGCATTTATATAAAATTTTAAATATATTTATGTACATACATAGTTTTATGTAGAAAATACATGTCATGTGTATATAAATATCTGTAGCTTTGAAACATCCTTTCCTCATTCAATTATCTATGTTTTTACTTTGTCCTATTAGAAGATGTAGATTTTTGGTCAGTTTAACTTCTGTGTAGAATTTCCTACGATGGGTGTGCCATATTTCTTTAGACATTTTGTTAGTTGATTGATAGGCAGTTTATTGTCAGTTTTTTAAAATTCCAAACTGTAGTGAATATCCTTATCCATGTATCTCTTCTAAAGTATATCCTAAGTTGTTGAGTACCTGTAGAGTTTCAAAAGATGGCACCACATTTCCTTCCTTATATCTACTCCTGAGAGTACTTAGATTGTGTTTCCACTCAACTGAGTATGTAAACTGTGTTAGGTTTTCTATGTTTATGTTAACGTCAGCCTTGATTACAGGATAAAGTTAGAGAACCTTTTTTTATTGGTTTTGAAACTAATTGCAGTCATCTGTGAAAACATTATTCTTATATCCTATCGAATAAGCTAATGTTGATGTAAGCCAGATTGATGTTTTCCGTGTGATTGTACCATTTCACAAAAGGATGTTGTTTAAAAAGTGCTACTGGAGGTTGTATAGTAACTTTCAGCAGTCAAGCCCATAGTTACCATTCTTTTTTTTTTTTTTTTTTTTTTTTTGGTGTGCATTTACAAACGTACATTTTTCCTCCTATCTATACAAGAGATAACTGATATTCCTCCTTAATACTGTCTCTCATTCCTAGAAGTGGGATTACTGGATCAAGGAGTGAAAACATTTTCAAGGCTTTTGAAACATACTGCCAAACTGCCCTCCAGAAAAAGGCCTCTACTGTGAATGTGATGATGGATGCCCATTTCTCTGAATGCTGATGCTGTATTTTTTTTTTCTCTCACTAAAGAAGCTGAGCGTTTTTTCCTCTAAGTTTACTGACCCATTTTTTTCTACTTTTATTTTAAGTTCAGGGGGTACATATGTAGGTTTGTTACATGGGTAAATTGGTGTCACTGAGGCTTGGCGTAGGAATGATCCTGTCACCAAGGTAGTAAGCATAGTACCAATAGGTAGCCATCCACCCCACACCCCCTTCTACCTCCCCAGTCAAGCAGTCCCCAGTGTTTATTGTTCCCATCTGTGTGCTCATGTGTGTTCAGTGTTTAGCTCCCACTTACAAGTGGGAACATAATAGTATTTTGTTTTCTGTTCCTGTGTTAGTTCAGTTAGAATAATGGCCTCCAGTTGTATCCATGTTGCCACAGAGGACATGATTTAATTCTTTTTTATGGCTGCATAGTATTCTGTGGTGTATATGTACCACATTTTCTTTATCCATTCCACCATTGGTGGGTATCTTGGTTGATTCCATTTCTTTGCTATTGTGAATCGCTCTGCAGTGAACATGCATGTGTCTTCTTGGAATAATTACTGATCAATCAATTGATTGACTGGTTTTTTTCCCAGTAGTGGGATTGCTGGGTACTGACCCATTTGTATGCCTTTTTAAAAAAATATCACTTTATGTTCGCTTTTTTTTTTTTAAATCATTGATAAGAGCAACTTAATAAACCTTGGTTTCTTGTTGAAATTCTTTTTTTATTGTGCCTTGTTTTGTGTCTTTTCTTTATGAGTAGGTTTATTCGAGGGTGATGGGAAAGAATATTTTATCTCAGTGTGTCTTTATTTATGCCATAGGCCTTCTCAGCTTGGTGTGAGGAAGCTTTTTTTAAAATTATGGTAATTTTTTAGAAATAGATTGCATAGAGGTGTGTGTGTGTGAGAGAGAGAGAGAGAGATTATAGTTAAAATAAAAAATGTGATTGTCTGCTGAACTAATTTTCAGGTAGAAATTAAAATGGCTGACTTTTAAAAAATTTGTGTACAAGTTAACGGAGTAAGAAAACCAGACTAAGGTGCCTAACTTTGGCTTTTCCATTGACTTTATTTAAATAATTTTATCTTAGAGATACATGATTCAGTTAACATTGGGTAAGAAATGAGCAATCAATATTCAGTCTTCTCTTGTCACCTAGCTTTGAATTATTTCTAATGTTTAAATTAAATAATTTTATTATTGGCATTATTTTTAAAGTAAAATCCTATTTCTCTGAGATCTGATGTATTAAACCATAAATATACTTTTTATATTGCTAAATATTGAGTATTTGGCTAGTTATGAAAACCATGATTTGAATTAAACTCATGTTGCTTATCAGGGCTTCTTCATGTTTATTTTCTTTACAGAAATACAGGTATCAGGATGAAGATACACCTCCTCAAGAGCATATTTCCCCACAAATCACAAATGAAGTGATAGGTCCAGAATTGGTTCATGTCTCAGAGAAGAACTTATCAGAGATTGAGAATGTCCATGGATTTGTTTCTCATTCTCATATTTCACCAATAAAGGTAGGATAGTATCTATTTATTATTGTTATGAATTACATATTACTTTTGTTATACATATAGCTCATGCTCGGAGAGAAGTATTCTTTCATGTAGGTTCGCCCTACCCCACCCCCCCATTTTAGTTTCATAGTTATGGAGAATTTCAAGGTGCTTATTAGTACTCCAGAAAACATTTTTAAATATGTATTTTATAAATGAATGTTAGTCAGTGATGCTATCTTTAAGTCTAAAAATTCCCACGATGGAAATAACTATTAAATTTCAAATACCACACACTGAAATATTTTCAGACACTTGTTTTTAAATATTAGTTGGTATAGAAACAGTGCATTTCCAGCACTTTGGAAGGCTGAGGTGGGTGGATCACTTGAGGTCAAGAGTTCAAGACAGGCCTGGCCAACATGGTGAAATCCCATCTCTACTGAAAATACAAAAAAATTAACCAGGCATGATGACACATGCCTGCAGTCCCAGCTACTCAGGAGGCTGAGACAGGAGAATCACTTGAGCCTGGGAGGCGGAAGTTGCAGTGAGCCTAGATTACGCCACTGCACTCCAGCCTGGGCGACAGCAATAACTCCATTTCAAAAAAAAAAAAAAGAGCATTAACATCATCTTTAAATTCCAAATATGTGACTTTTCTTGATCCTATCATCTCTCCCCTCAGAAGTAACTATAATCCTGAGTATATTTACCCTTTCTTATTAAAGTTCTACCATATATTTCGATTGCTAATCAATTGTTTTGCATATTTTGGACTTTATATAAATGGACTCATACTGTATATTTAACTTGCACTCTTTACTCAGTATTACATTCCTCACATTGATAAATTTCACTGCTTTAGAGTTTTCTATTTTATGAATATACTACAATTTATTTTACTTTTGATGGATATGGATTTATTTTCAGGTTATTACTAGTGTAAAAAGTGCTTGTAAAAACACAGGTTATATATACATCTTTGTGGATAAAGCCAGCTTGTTTCTCAGTAGCTGTGTCATTTCCAGTTTCAGCAGGAACATCTAACAGTTTTTAATTGATCCATGTTCTCTTCAATCGGTATTCTTATTTTTGGCATTGTTTTGGTTTCAAAATGGTATCTGAGTGTGATTTTAATGGGAATTTTACTAGGGAGGTATGATATATTTATTGGTCCTTTAGGTTTCCTTATCTGTTACGTGCCCATTTAAGATTTTTGCTCATTTTTGTATTGGGTCGTTCTTTTTATTGATTTGTATTTCTTTTATATTCTGAATATTAATCCTTTGTTGGTTGTGTGTATTTTCATTAAGGATCATTTCTTACTAGTAAAATTTACCTGGATTTTGTAATTCTCTTTGAGGAGTGATATCATACTACTGGTTAAAATTTTTAATGGTTATAGTACGATTCAGATTTTCTATCAGTTAATTTTGCTAGGCTATTTTTTTCTAGTAATTTTTAACATTTCAGATATATTTTCAAATTATTATTTATGATATCCTGCTAATACCTTTTAATATCTATAGCATATGTAGGCATGGTCCCTTTTTTATTCATAATATCACTTATTTCAGACTCTTTGTTTTCCGTCACCATTCTTGCCAAAAGTGTCAATTTCAAAGATGGTCTTTTCAAAGAACCGTCTTAAAAAAACAATTATCTTGAGTCCCTGCCCTGTTTGCCACCACCCTTACCCCTCTGTTCTTATACACACATACACATACATAAAGACATGTTTATGTATGTACATTCATATGTGTATATGTAAATATAAGTTACATGTAGGATAGCTGAATATCAATTAAAGATAGTGTTCAGTATAAGTAATCTGATCCTCCCTTGGGGAACTAAAAGAGAGTTAAGGAGAGTAAACAGCCAAAAAATCTGATTTTTTGGCTGTTTACCAGTTAGTGGCAGAAACAGTTCTTCTATCTTTTCTTCCTTTCTCTTTTTATCATTATTATTTTTTTCTTTTTTGGTTTCTTTGAGTTTATTCTGTTTTCTTGTTTTTCTAGTTTCTCAAGTCACTTGCTTATTGCACTAATTACCAGCCTTCTTTTCTAGTAGTATTCTTTTATAAATGTTTCTTGAAACAGCATTTTTAAATGTATCCCACAAGTTTGAATATGTAATGTTTTCTTATTGTATTTTTTTAATGTCTGATGTGATTTGTTTTTTGTTAGCCTCGTGAGTTACTTAGAAGCGTGTTTAATTCTTAAACATTAGAGACTATTCCTTCCATTTTGTCTTTTTTGTTTTTGTTTTTCTGAGACAGGGTCTTGCTCTGTTGCCCAGGCTGGAGTGCATTGGCAGTCATAGCTTACTGCAGCCCCAAACTCCTAGGCTCAAGTGATCCTCCCAGCTCTGCCTCCCAAGTAGCTGGGTCTACAGGCACATGCCATCATGCTTGGCTATTTTTTTTGTTTGGTAGAGACAGGGTCTTGCTCTGTTGCCCAGGCTTGTTTTGAACTCCTGGCCTCAAGTAATCCTCTTCCCTTGACCTCCCAAAGTGCTGAGATTACAGGTGTGAGCCACTGCACCTGGCTCATATCTTCTTTTGGATTGTATTTTCTCATCTCACTTTCCCTTATTACTAGCTTGGAAGTTAAAAATTGTTTCTCTTCCTTTAGTGGTTATTGTAGAAATTTTAATATATGTTTAACTTTTAAAAGTCTAAAGTAAATAAATGCCATTCACTCTTACTCCAGACAACATAAGAACCTCAGCACGGGTAAAGCCCTAACACTGCTTGTTGAATGTGCTGTTCTTGTCAGCCTGCTTTTATCTTGATTGAGTTAATCTAATTTATTTATTATTTTTGTCCAAAAACACTCCCAGGATATGTATAATTTTTTTATTTCTGATGTTTTGAATTTCCGGTCATCCTTATTGTTACAAACCAACCAAAGCCAATTTGCACATGGCCAACTCTGGTCTTTTGGTAGGTATTTTAGTAGTTATTTTGGTGTGTTTGCAGATTATGACACAAGCAGACATTTAAACAGTGAGCCAGCATGCATATTTTATGTAGCCTATTCTTTAAATCTCATGAAACCTCAGCTTTCCGTTGTTGCCTAAAATGCTCATTCTAAGCAGATAAAACAATGTTCCAGACACAAGATTTTGTTTACCCAGAGTCTCCAGATGTCTTAGGGATTAAACCTAAGGTGTTATCCCTAAGGGTTTAGGCCTCTCCAGAGTCTTCCGTTTCCCTTATGCAAGGGTGTATTATGTCTCTAAATTAATTCAAAAAATTCACATAACTGGGATGCTATGGATTTCACCAGTGAAATCCCATTTTGCTGATTAATAAGCCACTACCTTCATCAGTGAAAACCTACTTCATTATAATTGGGAAGACTTTTTGTGTAAATCAAAGATTAATATGACAAAACCCCCCTTTCTGTTGTTGTTTTGTTTTGTTTTGTTTGAGTTGAAGTCTCGCTCTGTCGCCCAGGCTGGAGTGCAGTGGCGCGATCTCGGCTCACTGCAAGCTCCGCCTCCCGGGTTCACGCCATTCTCCTGCCCCAGCCTCCCGAGTAGCTGGGACTACAGGCGCCCGCCACCACGCCTGGCTAATATTTTGTATTTTTAGTAGAGACGGGGTTTCACCGTGTTAGCCAGGATGGTCTCGATCTCCTGACCTCGTGATCCGCCCGCCTCGGCCTCCCACAGTGCTGGGATTACAGGCGGGAGCCACCGCGCCCGGCCGACAAAACCCTTTTAGCAGCCATCTCCGTATATGATTCTTGTAATTAAATGCAAGGTGATCAATCTTGGGATGTGAATTGGAACGCAGACTGGCCTTTGGGAGGTTTACAAGTTCTCCAGGTGTTTCTAATGTGCGGGCACAGTTGCGAAGCATTGTGCCACCACTATTACGGCTACTATAGTTGACCCTTGAACAACACGAGTTGGAACTGCACTGCTCCACTTATATGCGGATGAAACAAATGCAGATTTCAAACAAATGCAATCAAACATAAAAGTATTTGTAGGATGCAAAACCCAAGTATACAGAGGGCTGACTTCCTGTAAGTGCATAGCTGACTTCAGGACTTCAGTATGTGAGGATTTGGGTACAGTATGCGAGGATTCACGGGGGACTAGTCCTGGAACTAGTCCCCCGTGAATGCAAAGCTTGAGGTATTTTCCTGCACTACTGTGCTATCTGTGTTGAGCTATTAATATTTACAAGTAAACTTCTGACATCATTTGTCGAATCCTCCTTCTAGAGTGAGAGACTTAAATTGATAGTATTGAGAGAGAAAGCATTCATACTTTAAGATTTTCACTGCTTTCTTAATCTGATTCATTTCTTCCTTAATTTTCTGACCATAAGAGATGAGAAGTCAGTTTTTTGGTATCTGCTTTAAATTGCTTTTTCTTTACATATACTTGCTTTTTGTTTATTCTGACAATGATAAAGGATTATGTCCCTCACAGCTTTTTAAAGAAATATTTTATAGAGGCTTAAAGGAGTATGTTATTAATTAAAGTGTCCTTTATCATCAGTTCTAAGACTTACCTTTTCCACATTTACCATTTCTGAAATTGGTGGAAATCTTGCAGTTGCTGGCATTTTGTCATGGCCTTATCTGAGTGGCGATCTTTGTGTAGTCATATGTAAACCTTTCCTGACACGTTTTGTTAAGATCAAGAAAGTACCAGCATGCTTTCCTGAGTCTTAGGATATTATGATAATCATTCAGCTGGTTCTATGAGAAGCGTCTGAAAACCTGGCCATCTTTGTGGGCCATTCTCTTGCTCTGCCTTGTTCATCTTGTTCTCTTTTGTTAGGTATTAACAGGATCAGTCTCTGAAACAATTATAAACCATCCTCTGGGGTTCTTAAGTGAAACCACTAGTCCCCTTTCCCTCACTAGTCCCCTTTCCCTCACTTTGGTTTGCTGGCTGTCTGATTCATATTTGCAAACTGAGTAGATAAGGATTTTCAATCCCAGCAGAAAAAAATTGTGTGTATTCTCTATCATTTGTTTCTAAATCACACTTTAATATGTTAATGTTTTTTCCTATTGTAAACTTGTTAAACATATTTTCTTGTATATTTCCTGTGTAATATGATGTATCAAGTTTTTAAAAATTTAAACTTTAAAAACTTTAAACTTGATACATAATATTGCCTGATATATTTGCACCATAATTTGATGACCATGTCAGCTCTCAGATATCTGTTATCTCTATTTTTATTAGGTTTTGTAAAGAAACCTGCAATGAGTAATCTTTGGACATGAAAAGTATTTAGTTTCTTTCCTTTGGATGGATTACCAGAAGTCAGATTACTGAGTCAGAAGAATATGAACGTTTCTCAAGTTCTTGAAACTTTCTGACAGATTGTATTCTGATAGAATTGTAATTTAAGAATGATTAAGACTGTTTCGTTTGGGGAATTTCTACCTGCTTCCCCTCTTTCATTCCTAGGTTACTGTGGCAGATGCCACGTAAAATAATTATTTGAGGGGTGTAATAGATTTGGAGCAGGTGAGCATTATAGCAGAGTAGGTAGGGTTCCTTTAACTTTTTGTTAGAAAACCGGAATTGAAGGAAAACAACCCTTATTTTGACATAAGAAGGCAAGCTTTAATGCTTTTTCATCTTAATTTTTAAAAAACCAGAATGTTATAAGAAGCTCAACAATTTATTTAAAATACAGTGTCAAGTATTAGACTAGTAGTCTCTTTTTTAAAATAAAAGCTAATATAGAGAGCTTTTCCTCTTTTATAGTATTGTGGTTTGGAGTGAACAGCTGTTACGCTGCATGTAGAAGTCAGTATATGAATTATTATTTTATAATTTGAAAAAGTATCTTAGAATTAACAGTGGTTTGCTGAGTAGATTGTAAATTAGGCACAGCTTTAGTCTTCACAATTCTAATAAAAGCTAATGGTAAAAATAAAATTTAATAGATGCTTTAAAAATCAACTGCTAGGATATTAGTTGTGTCAAGCAATACATGCATTTAGCAAACAGTTATTAAACATCTGTGCTAGTAACTGTGTTAGACATCAGTGATTAGTATTTTTTTACGGAAAGATAGTTAACACAGTATGATGTGACATGAAAGAGGGAGAAATTAAATTCTTGGAGTTTTCTGAAAAAAGCAAGTTGACATTTGCATAAAGTGTTGAAGGATGTGTAAGATGCCAAGTCAGAGGAGGAGGCCGTTACTGGGGTAAATAAATACAGTGGAAGGGTGACAATCACAAGAAACTGTAGAAATGCAGGAAGGTTTATGTTATTATTGCTGATACTTAGGGTGCATGTTAGGAAATGAGGGCAAAATCTAAAAGACCTGTATGATGAATGTTCTTATGAAAGGTTTGCCACCATGAAACATGCCGTGAATTAATCTATTAGATTATTGTGGTGGTGGTGGTGGTGGTAGTGGATGGTGGTGGCTCTCCTTACTGGAATAATGAGTAAAGTAAGATAGTGATTGGGTTACTTTATTCAGGGCTTGGCATAAAGATAATTATGATTTTATAATTTAAGACTCTGAAAGGGATACTTTCTTGCCAGTGTTGGGAAGAATATCAAGAAAGAAATAGGGGATATAATAGTTTTTTAAAAATCTTAATGTCGAAGAGAAGGACACAGTGGGTAAATTTTGGGGTTATGTAAGAGTAGTGTCAAGGTTCTAAAACTGAAAATGAGCTGAGAATTAGGAAAAATTGTTAGAACAGTAAATCGAACAAATAAAAACCTCAGCCTTTTCCCAAAAAGTTTGAAATGTACATGAAGCAACAGGGAGGACAGTAGGAGTATTATTGAGTGTATGGGAGGATGCAGTGATCATTGAAGAAACAAGTAATTTATATTTGGTTTTTGTCTTCAATGGCAAGGAAAATTATGCTCAAACTATTGTATACAAAGTAAACATTACTAAGAGGGACTTGAAATCAAACAGAAAAAACAGGGTCAATGAGCAGATAATTGTGCTAAATAAGTATATTTCCTAGCATTTTATTTCATCCAGTAGTATTGAGAATATAATGAAATCACTAGCAGCTCTTAGTAGTTTTTAAAAAATTGTAAGAAATGGGAGTGGCAGAAAAATGGACACAAGCAAATATAAGCCTTTTGAACCAAATGCTAGAGGAATAGAAGTTTTCCTGTTTCTAGTATATAATGAGCAGTTTTTGAAATCAACTTTATCTTTACATCTCTGGAACATATAGAAACATGATTGAATTTTATCATGGACCTGGTATACTAAGGTGAGCATATAGTTTGCATGCACTGACCACTAGATGGTGCTCATACAGAAGGGATTTTGTATGTGTGACATTGAGGGTTTTCTAGATAAATAGCAAATCTGTGTTCTTGTCACTCTTCTCAGTCTTGTCTTATCTCAATACAGTTGTATGTTTTGAAATTTAATAGCCCACATTAGAAAAGAGTAATAAAAATGCCTGTTATATTGCATTTACGTTACATTAGCTTTGTAGTTACTTTGGGTTTTTGGTGGGTTTTTTTTGTACTTTAGAGTTTCAGTATTGCTTTTCCTCTTGTCCTTTACCTTTTTACATTTTTCACTAAGATTATTTAGTAAACTGGGCATGGTGGTAACCTCAGCTACGTGGGTGGCTGAGGCAGGAGCATGGATTGAGCCAAGGAGTTCAAGACCAGCCTGGGCAACGTAGTGAGACTCCGTCTCAAAAACAAACAAATAAAAGATTATTTAGTATTTGCCTTTGTTTCTGTACCTAAAGACTGCTGGGTTTGTGACTTTAGAAACGTACACAAATAATTGAGAGCCTATCCAGTATAAATTTTTAACTTTTTATTACCATTTAATATTGTAAATATTCCTCATAGTCATAAATTTTTCATAATCATGTTTTGAATTACATAGTAATCCACTGAACTAATCGTATTTAGTTTACTAACTTAAGCTTTCTCTATTGTTTAGGCTAGAATTCTATAGATTATATTATCACTCTGAAAAAGAAAACACATTACGGAAAAAAGAATATTCTTTGTATATCATATTAAGATGTTAATAGTGATTCCTTTTGGTGGTTTAGATTGCATACCATCTTTTCATCCATTATTTTAAATAGGTTTTCCAGGTTTTTCTTTAATGAACTTAAATTTGGTTTTAATGGAGTTTTTATCTTTCATCTCTGCTGTGTAATGAGAGAGGATATTCTAAAGCAAAGAACAGTTGGTTGCCTTCCGCCTTCCACCTCCCAGTCTAATCTCATGTGAAACCCCTCTTGTGATTTAGGTATAGATTTTTTGTGTGCATATACTGACTACTGGCCAATGGATGAGGTGTTCCTAGATTTTTGTAGGTCATGTAACAGGACATTTTCATAAAGAAGTCTTTCCCAAAACTTGAAGTTGTTTTCTTGATGTGAATGGATTTGGATAGGAAATTTGCATCAAGAAGTATTTCTTCCCTGTACATTGGGGAAATATGGGAGGCAGTGATCTGTCAACTTTAGATTGTACCCTAAGTTCTTTGGCTCTGTAGGGTAAATAGATGCACACTAAGAGCCTACCATTGACCCCTAAGTTCTCTGGCTCTGTAGGATAAATAGATGCTCACTAAGAGCCTACTATTGTATGTCTTTTGGTACTGTTTACAGTTTGAGGTAGGAGATTTGCATTCAACAGTTGTATTCAGTATCTTCATCCATACTAATTCAGAATAACAGAACCCATATCAGTTTTCTCCTCCCCTTGAAGTTTTCATCAGACATGGATCAAGGCACATATTTTAGGGCCAGACCAATTACCGTAGCATTTATATAAACCACACTAATCAGGTCTTTACTAGGTACCTGGTCCATAACAAAACTTGAATTTTTTTCTGGGAGGTTTCATTTTTTCCTTCACAAGAGGATTCTTAGTTACCTGTCCGCCCTTAGTATTTTCTTACATTCTCTACTCCGAATTAGATAGGATCACTCTGGGGCCATAAATTGTCAGCTACTGCCGGCACAGTCCTTGGGAAGAAGCACCAAACTTTCTGGTATAATCTCTGTCACAAAATATCTTGCCCTCAAGAGTCCCACATGGCTCTCACCCTTACTGAGCACATGTTCACTTCTCAGCAGACGCATCATAGAGACAGCATTAGCATGTTTTCTTGCGGAGTCAAGATTTGCAGTGGACCTCAACATTGTAGTTTGACAAAAGGCTGCATCCAGTTGGTGCTGGTAAGCACGTAGACAAGGAAGATTCTGTCAGTCCACATCCGAAAAAATATCCATGGCTGAGGTTGGGACTTACGATATGCTCTTATCAGCTTAAAAATTAGATTATTCAACCAATAGTAAATTATCAAGTAGCGTTTTTGTTCACATATTGTTTTAAAATGACCATTGTTGTAATTACTAATATAGCACAGTGTTAAGAGGGCTTGCTTGGGAGTTTGTGGTTCTCAAACTTGAAGGTACTTAAGAGTCACTTGGGAAGCATTTTAAACATAAAAATTCCCAGGTTCCCCCTGCCCGTAAACATTTTGATGGGGAGAGGATACACCAATCTGCATATATAACTAGCGCCCCAGGCAATTCTCAGGCGAACTATTATGTTAACCTAAATATTAGATGTTAGAATATGTTCCTTTAGCAATCAGGTGATAGTATTTGGTGAACCAGAGTGGTATTTATGTAGAGTTGGATAAAACACATTTCACTGATTATAAAACGAAAAATTTACCAGCGTTAATTCTTTCTCATTTTTAGAAATTTATGACCTTGTAATATGAATGTTTATAAAATACTAGAGAGATGATGCTGATAATTTCTTGAAAGTTCTTTTTTATCATAAAGGTTCCAGAAGCAAAATACTTGTTTTAGTAATTAATCTACCTTGAGACCCAGTTGTTAATCATTAAAAACCAATACATTACATAAAATGATAAAGGAAAATCCATTTGTAATGAAGCGCTATCGTTAGATAGTCAGAGTTTAATGTAGGCAGCACCTTTGAACAACTTAGAGCCAGTGCCAGATAATGTGTAAGATCTGCCTGGTGTAGAAATTTGGATATGAATGACAAAGATTCTTTTAGTGAAATCATTTTAACAGTCAGAACTATTTGCAGAGAGAATCCTCTTATATGTTTTAATTCAGTTCATATTTATAATTTATATAAGCAGTGAAGGTGCCATTGGATTTTACTACAGACTGTGGTTGAAACTTGGTAATCCAGGGTTTTTCCACGCAGTGCATTAAATCAGGCAGCCCCACAGGGTCTTGGTAGTCCAGTGTTTATAGCATCCTTCTTTACCTGCTAATCGACCTCACTTCCTGGATTTCAATCCATCTAGTTATCAGCTAACAAAAGAACAGCTTTTGGTTCCTGCAGACGCTGGTGAAAAAATAATCATGAGAAAGAAATCCACCTTATGTCGTCTTTTTTGTCTGCAAAAATAAACTCAGCCATCATACAGCTAACAGGTACAGAGGGAAGATACGAGCTCTTTCATAGGAAGAAATCACTGAGAAAATGAGCATCATTTCTCAAGGTTTTTATTTTCACTGATCTACAAGTGATGCTGCTGTAATTGTAGCTGCAGTTTTTACCGATCATTCACCACTCAGCAGCTGGTAGAGAAGTAAGCCTGCTTGGCAACCACCTGCAGGGCTGCAGAGATGAATTACATTTTCGGAAACAACACACTTCTATACTCTCGCGGCAGTCGAGGAGGCAATACTAGCTCTAGCCATGGCTCAGCAGGCCCAAAGCAGAAACACTGGGCAAAAAAGGGCTCGTCAGATGAACTGCAAGCTGAGCCAGAACCTTCACGCTGGCAGCAGATAGTTGCATTTTTCACTCGAAGACACAGCTTTATTGACTGCATCTCGGTAGCCACCAGCTCCACCCAGGTAACATACCACTTGTTGAAATTATTTTCAATCTATTTCTGTTTACGTTTGCTCTGTAAAAATGTCTTAATATAGATTTTTTATTTAAAGAATAGCCTTGAAACCTTGGATGTGTAGAAATGTATGTTTTCTGTCCATCCGTGTAGGTCTTTAGCACAAAAGGGGGAACAAGAAATATTTTTCCTTATGCTCTTATGTAATACCAAACAAAATAGCCTCAGATTCAATTGAATGACTTTTCTAAAAATATAAGCCCATTGATACATAAAATATGAATTAATAATGCTCATCTCCTTTTTAGACTGTGCTAAATGCTGTAGAGTATGATGTCTGACCAAAGAAAATGCTGATTTGTTTAGTTTTTGTATGTTATTAGATAACCTTAGGGAGACTGTTACAGTAAAGAAACAGAAGATACTTTGAAATATTTTCATTTTTCAGTGTTTTGAAAATAGATTCAATTTAATATAATTGGCTAGTATTATATATACTGACATCTTAGCTATATTATGGCTTATTCAAGGGATTTAATGAATCGTTTTTTGTAAATATTATTTATCTAGCTTAATTTGAAATTAAGTGAACTTGTGCAATTACACAGTCATGGAATATTTTTTCACATAGTCAAATCACAATTTAAAGAGATGAGCAAATACTAAAAGTCTCTCAAAATTAAAAAAAATCACATAACACCACTTTTTGAGGAAATGAGCTATTGTCTATGGGAGGAAAAATAAAGAAAAATTAATAATTGTTTGAAATACCTATTGTTTGCTACAAGGGTGGTTTGAGGAAATATTCATATTTCTAAATATTTTTAAGCAGTCAGTTCAACTTTAGTAAAAATAAAAGGACGAGAAATGGTCTAAAAACAAGTTGAGAATGCATTTGTCCTCTGACATCAGTGATATTTAAATTAGGAAAATACATACATACACATTCCTTAGGACCTTTTAAAATAAATTCCCTTAAAGCTGTCTTTTAAAGAAAATAATAGAAGCAGCTCAATAAATATAAACTATAACTGTCAACAGTTCTATATTTCTTTATATGTTTTTTATAAATTTCTTTACTGTTTTTGGTTACTAGAATTGTCTTTTAATGGTGTTGATTTAAAATAACATCAGCTTTCTTAAGTAAGAAATTCTACTTACTTTTCTCAAATATTTGGGAGAAATGGAATTACCTAGGAAGGGGGAGTCATTATGTAGGCATTGAGGTTAAGTTACAATCAAAACTTATTGAATGGGCAACGATTGATTTAACTCTTAAATTGAATACTGCCCCAAGAATTTTACTAACCTTATTTTGACTGCAATTACATATATCACGAAAGGATGCAAAGACTAAAGGTTGACAATGTTATTCATTGTAGATTAATACTAGATGATATTTTCCATTGTCAACAAGACAGATATCTTTAGAACTTTTTATATATATATATGGTTTATGTAAATGCACACCCTTCTATATATGTATGCACAGATAACACTAGCATTGATATATCTGTCACTCGGTTTATTAAAAGCAGGCAAATGAAAAGACAGGAAAAGTAGTTCATGTATAAAGTGTTGAAACCACAGAGTTACGTTATAGCCGCTTGGGAGTAGGAGCAGAACGTTGCTGTGATTGCGCCAGAAGAGAGTCATGACCCCTGTTCGCAGTCAGCTCTGCAAAGCCATTTTACATGACAGCCCCCACCCAGTTTGGTTCAGAGCATTCCTGTATGCTAGTATATGAGTTATTAATAGTTTTTATTTCTTTCAGACCTCTTTCCTGATTCTCATCTTGTCTTTTTCATTACCTTTCTATTTTATTTCTAGAAATAGGAGTATTAGGGTAGAGGTTTTAGCTTCTGTTTTTCTTGCACTGGAGTACCAACATTTTGTTTTTCATTTTATACATTTTTGTAACTGATACATTGGATAGTTTATATATCTTAATTTTTTTATAACTTACTGGAGTTGATTTGACAAGTTAAAATATAATGGGACTGAAAAATAACTTGAGATATAATTGGATCTTACTTGATACTAGAATACTTTTTTAAATTGCACTTACTGACTCATGGCTGGCAGCTTTCTTTTGCAGCACTAAGGGATTTATTGTTAGAAACAACGTAGATTGAAATTTCATACTTAGAGCATATAATATATACCTATGAATATAATAAGGTCATAGTGTTTTGTACTGCGATTGGTAAATAACAGAGGTCTCTTATTTCACTGATGTCAAAAATACTCTAAGATTTGACAGAAAGATTAACTTTGAATCTAATTCCATATGACTAAGCCACATGATACTTTTTGCAGATTGGAGAGTTGTTATAAATCAAGTTCTATTAGTATGAAAACTATCTGGTTTAGTATCCCCCCCAAATACAGTATGAAAAGTATCTGATTTAATATCCCCCCAAATATACACAATACATAAAAAGAACCTGTACTTATTTTACAGATTCATTTAAATTGCTTGTCTGCTGGAGGTATTCATGTTCATAACTAAGATTATGTGCCATTTTCTACTATGATACTGGAACTCAGGAGGAAGTCATTAATGTTTTTTGAATGATAAGGAAACTGAGTGGTTATAAACTTTTGCAAGACACCTAGCTTCTCAGTTAGGGTTTGGCATGTAGTTGGTGTTAATAAATGCTTATAGAATTAATTAATTTTTATTCCATTCACCTCAAATGTTATCTCCTGGCCTTCCAAAATATGACACCTAATCTAATACCTCTTCAGTACCTGTATTGATTGGATCTTCTCTCTTCCCTCACAAGTGTCTTTGGTTTTTCACAGCAGCCCATCTCCTTTTCCACTGCCTTTTCTTCCCCTCCATTCTTCATACTATCCTCCAGTCACACTGCCCCGATTCCCCTGATTTCCTCACCCCTTTCAGTCCCCACTCAGTAGTGATAACCAAATAGCTTACACACTGTCTCTCAGTTTTATCATTTCATTGTATCTCATTTTACATTGTGGGTTTTTTGAGAGGTTGTTTTATTTTTTAATGTTAAATAAAAATGAGTTTCTTATGAATTACATTGGTGAAACTTTTTCAGTTTGAGGCTTCATAGTGTTTTTGTCCTTAATTTCAAACGATTAGTATAGAAAAAGTTCTCTATGCATTGCGAAGCCCTCCTTGGTTCCGCACCCTCAGCGTCCCTCCTATTCTTGTGTTGAGGGTCACTCAATAATCGGCCCCGTCCTACTTAGCATACACAGTCCTGTTCCAATCTGGGACCAGTTTTTATATTCAGCAGGGTTTTATAGAACTCCAGCACAGTGCTGCTAGACTTTACTTGATTAACGCCTAGGTGAAAAGTTTTATTTACTTAGTGATATCGACGTTTATTAATGTCAGTAGTAATCATATGAACTTTAAATAACTGTGAAGTGTTCAGTCATTTTGAATGTGTGTATAGCAGCTATTCATACATTTTGGACTACTTGAAAATCTCAACATATAGAGCACTATAAATACTCAAAAAGCCCCCCCCCCCCCAAAAAAAAAACACAACATGCCAAATTAAGCTGAGAGCAGCAAAGCTGTATTCTTAGGAATATGGAACAGACATGAAAACTTGTCAGAATTGAAATAGAATAATAAAGTTTTCTTAAAGAGTAAATATTAGCTGAGTTGAATAATCTGCTTAGAGGAAAAACCCTGTCCTAAGTCAAAAATATAGGAAAACATTGTTCAAGTGCCTGTGTGGAAAAATATTTAGGCTAATTTGTACACTTTAAAAAATATTGTTTGTCTGAAACAGATGCCTTCTGAGTTATAGAGGATTTAATTTTTAGAGCTATGCATTGGATATATTGTCCAATAGAGAGAATAACAGTATCAGTGTCATTGAGTCACTTCTACCAAATAATTTAATGTATATATTAATAAAGTACTTAGGACAGCATCTGACACAGAGTAAGTGCTACATTAGAGTTAGGTGCCCCTGTTAGCTTATTTTTATATCATTTAACTCTAATAGTATATGAACAAATTCAGATATAGATTATTAGGAATTATTGCACCTAGGATAGCGCAGTACATTCAAACATTCAGTAAATATTGTTGACTGATTAAGTTAATTTGTAAGTACAAGCCATCCACTTTTTTTAAGAACCAGAGATCTCAACACCTTTAATTACAGGATTTAAGGGAGGTGCCCCAAAGAGCCTTTGAAATTCTTGATGAGACTACCAGTTTTTTGACCTTTCCTCCCCTCCTAGCACTCCCTTCTACAAATTGGTGAAAACCAGTCACGTGTAGATGACTAAATTTAAGTGATTATCCACTTGGTACCAAGCTCCCCTAAGCATCCCCCAAACATATCATGAGGACTATTTTTAGATCCTAAATCCCTTTTAGCCTGTCACCACAGAAAGTCCAGACCATCCGGATTGCAGCTCTGCCTTCTCTATACCAACTCGCAGACTGCACGTTAAACTTCCAATACCTGATTCCTGGTCTTATTCTCAAATAAATAATCTTGCTTTGTGTTCCAGCCTGCTAAAATAAATGAACTGTGTGCCTAAAGCTTACCCATATTCACTTCTGTACTAGATCGTAGTCCCTTTGGTTGTTCAAGAACTTCTGAAATCCCTTTCTCTCTTCACTGCATCATCTGTCTTGCCTCTGTACTGCCCCTAGACTTGCCTCTATAAGTCCTATCAGGATGTACACCTGCTATAATATCTTTCATTAAAACAACCATCCAAAAAACCCTCGTTGTGTGAGTGTAGATTATCAAATCCAGTGGCCAGTTCTCAGTGTTCATTTTACTTGACCCTACAACAACTGTTAACACAATTGATTACTCCCTCCTCTAAATTCTTTTTTCTCCTTTGACTCGTGGATAGTACTGCTCTTTTAATATTCTACCAGCCTCATTTTCCTTTATAGTATCCTCCTTTTTCCTACTGCTAAATGTTCAAATGTCTCAGGGCTCAGTCTTTGAACTCTCTTTTTATACTCACATTTCAGGTGATCGCATCTAGTCCTATGCCCTT